>NC_000007.14:120082536-120385566 GCF_000001405.40 Homo sapiens
TGATCATGACTATCTACCCATACATTGGAAAAACATGAGAAGCTTTGACTTAGACCTCATCAAAATTTTAACAGCATTCCAATACTTACCATCTTTCACATCTAACTCTTTCACATTAATATAACTTGTTCCAAGAATGTAGACTATACTTTAATCCTTAATACATCATAAGGTACCATTTCCCAATATGTATTCTTCAGAATGCTCACATGGGAGACACACTTACAGTAAATGTTTCTGAGGTCAGTATTTTTAGAACTTTGACTCCAAATGACTTTTTATGATATTTGAAATGCTTATTCACATACTGCAAGTAGTGCTGATCCATGCCCTAACTTAATACTCTTTCTCATCATGTTTTGTCAAACTTATCTGATCCAGAACTGTTGTTTATTATTTATTTCTAATATAACATCCAGACACTATTTATTTCAGCAAAGTTTCACAAATTTAGTTTTCTATTTTTCTATGGTTATTTTTTGTTCTATTTTTATTTGTTTTTTAAGTCAGAAATTCATAACCTAAATAAGATTTAACAGGAGTTAGCTAATCAAGACATTTGAGGTCTTAAAACTCTGTGAATAGTACATATAAGCCAAAATTATTCTACTTGTATAAATATAAAATGTGAGGAAAGAGTAATAAATACAATTGCTACTTCTTCTTCTTCTTCTTCTTTTTTTTTTTTTTTTGAGACGGAGTCTCACTCTGTCGCCCAGGCTGCAGTGCAGTGGCGCAATCTCGGCTCACTGTAAGCTCCGCCTCCCGGGTTCACGCCATTCTCCTGCCTCAGCCTTCCAAGTAGCTGGGACTACAGGTGCCCGCCACCATGCCTGGCTAATTTTTTTTTCTTTCTTTTCTTTTTTTTTTTTTTTGGTATTTTTAGTAGAGACTGGGTTTCATTGTGTTAGCCAGGATGGTCTCCATCTCCTGACCTCATGATCCGCCCGCCTCGGCCTCCCAAAGTGCTGGGATTACAGGCGTGCGCGCCTGACCTAAAATTGTTACTTCTTTCTTCTTATGCTATATGTTTTCAGAGCTTTAAAAAGACACATTTAAGTAAGTCAAAAGATAACCTCTCAGGTAAGATAGGAGGTTTTAAAATACAGCAATAGGTGCAAGATGTTGATTTTGTTGCTAAGATCTTTTTTTTTTTTTTTAATCTGTGGTTCTAATTTGTTTCATCCCTTTTGGTTCTCACTTGTTTTAACCGGTACTTCTGAAGCCTGTGGTTTGTCTCACTTCAATTAAATTCATAGGATTTATACTCCCTTCTTCATCACTGGTTTTAAGCAAGAGATTCCCATCACCTTACTCTCAGGAGAGGTCTCTAGGCTCAACTTCCAGGGTATTTTTTATGTAAGTAATGGAGTATTAATTCAGGAAAGAACTACATTGCATTATACATTATATTTCAGAAGTATTTAGGTGCCAAATAGGTACTTTCTAAAACTTGAAAAAAGTACGAAAGAACACAATAAGAATGCATTTAGTTACTCTCTATTAAAAACACGATACTCCTCTCCGTGTTCATGACTGCTTTCTTGTTGCTGACTTGGTTTCCAGGTACTAATTTACATACAGCAAAATCCAGGATACTTAATCCATTCCCCAGCTGAGTGCTTCTTGTACTTCATGATTTGATTTAGCATTCTTGAGTCTGGACTCTATTCTGTAATAATCCTGATATGACGACTCAAGAAGGGTCTGGACTGCTTTTGACAGGCAAAGAAAATTCTACTGTAGTCAAATAAGACCACTTCTGCCGCAGCTCCTATTGACCATTGAAGTCTGACTGTCAGCTTGACTGCAAGTGGAAAACTGGAGCACTTACATTTCACAGACTTTATTTGCACATGTTCCAGGCTTATTATTTTCAGGGCATATTTTGTTGGAGAGCTGAAATCACCTTTTTGAAGAGTTGAGAAGGAAATGAGAATAGAAAAGACTTTTTTTAAAGAGACAGAACATTGTCTTCAATCCTCCTCACTTCATATAAAAGAGCATTTAAATAAATCCTTGCTCTTATAAGCCACATTACCAATAATTTTAGGCAGAAAAAATCAAAGTGGATATTATTGTAGCTTATTCAAACTAATTTATTTAAAATTGGCTAGAGATGTAGCTCCTACAAAGAACCCAGCACTATATATAGCATCAATATTACTAAAAAGAATAAGAAGGATAGGTACTCAGGGATTATGGGTGAAGACAGACATGTAAATACATATGGCAAAAACTGTGATTATTCTAATAATAGAATTATGTTTCACAAGTTGTGGTAGCAAAGGCTAAATGCACATAGAAGTTAAGTAGTGAGATAGAACTTGACATATAAACCCCAAATAGAGAATAATCATTAAATTAATTTATTGAGAATGCTGTGTGACAAATTATGACTTTGATTATTAAAGACTTTACCGATATTGCCTTATTTAAGCTTTCCCGGAAGTCTTCAAGATTGGTCTTGTGAAAGGAGAAAAAGTATATAAGAACAGAGAAATGAGAAGGACACAACATGTTTGAGAAAGAGATGAGTTGTTTTGTGTTTATAAAATGAACATTACACACCGGGGCCTGTCAGGGGCTAAGGGGCTAGGGGAGGGATAGCATTAGGAGAAATACCTAATGTAGATGATGGGTTGATGGGTGCAGCAAACCAACATGGCACATGTATACCTGTGTAACAAACCTGCATGTTCTGTACATGTATCCCAGAACTTAAAGTATTTAAAAAAAAAAAAAAGTTGTGTTTTGAATTGAGAAGGAACCACTTGGGCCCAGATAGTAAAAGTATTTTAATTTATTGTTGTGTTTTGTTCTATTGTTTTATTTTAAACTGGAAGTAATGCAATGTTATCAAATTGTTATAAGTAAGAGAGTAACATAATTAGATTTATTTTTAATAATTTTAAAATCATTACAGAATAATCTAGTTAACCCATGAGATGAGCAAAAGTGAAAGAAAAAAACCACAGGAGAGTATCAATAATTAAGAAGGATGCAAAGCAAAAGTGGTTCACAAACACTGCTAGTAACAGCCAATTTGGACAGCAGTGGGAATATCTAATTAAATGGGGAATGTATATACCTCCTGGCGCATTAGTTTCTCTTCTAAGTATATACCCTAGACTATATTTGACTTATGTTCGCAAGGAGACATTTGAAAACATCCCTTGCAATGCTATTTGTAGTGGATGAATATTAGAAACAATCAAAATATGCCATTTACTGGGAAACAGAGAAGGAAAATGAGCTGTAAGTTGAAAAGCTGTTGAGAAACTAAAACCTTCCATAGGTAAACAAATATATATCTCAAACTCATAACATTGAGTGAAAAATCAGGAAGTGCCAAGCAATATTTTTATTTGTATTAAAAACTACATAAAAAGAAAAAGTGTATAGCAAACTCAAAACAACTTTTGCCCCAGAGAAACAGAAAGGGAATGGAACTTGGCATAATAATGAACACTTTAGTTAAGCTTCATGTGAAAATATGACCCATGTGTAATTTTTTTTTAATTAATGCATTTTTATGTCTTGAAATCTAAAAATAACTAATCATGGGAATGGAAAACCTTGGTGATTATCCTAATAATCTTTTAGTTTTTATATATTGAAGAAACGTTAACCACAATAGAATTATCATGTGAGGAGAGCACATTCTCAATAGTTTAGATAATGCAAGAGTGAAATGAAATACCAGTAGTAAGGATGACAGTATTAGAAAATTAATGAAATGGAGCTGTCATTAACTGAAATAAGACAGGATAGAAAACAGGTTTGGAGGGGGAGTCTAGAATTTTAGCTTGAACAATAATGCATTTGACTTGCACAAAGTTATCCAAATTAAGAGAGTTGTAATAAACGTAGGAAACTTGGCCAGGCTCACGCCTGTAATTCCAGCACTTTGGGAGGCCGAGACTGGCGGATCATGAAGTCAGGAGGTCAAGACCAGCCTAGCCAACATGGTGAAACCCCGTCTCCACTAAAAATACAAAAATTAGCCGGGCGTAGTGGCGGTCACCTGTAATTCCAGCTACTCGGGAGGCTGAGGCAGAAGAATCGCTTGAACCCGGGAGGCGGAGGTTGCAGTGAGCCGAGATCGCGCCACTGCATTCCAGCCTGGCCAAGGAGCCAGACCGGGGCCGGGCAGGGTGGGGGCGGGGGCGGGGGAAGATATGAAACCTAATATACCAGAAAAAAAGGAGGTGTGTATTTAGTATTCATGAGGATAAATGGATAAAGTAACCTAAGGAGACCACAGATCGAAAACAGAAGTGAGCTCAAGACATAATTCTAAAGTAGCTACTGTTTAGAGGGAAGAGAAAAACAACTACAAATATGTTTGCTTGTTTTTAAAAACAGAATTGACATATATTCAGTAGGTAAGCAGACTGCTGAAGAAAATAGTCTACTATGTCGGTTGCTGCAAAAGATCAAATAAAAAGATGAATGAAAAAGTCACTGAATGTGACAAAAGATTGCTGGTGAAAGCACAGGCAGAAAAGAGATGACAATGAGTGGGTAAAATCTTGAGAAAATAAATGAAATTATTTATATCATTGTTATAACATAATTTAGTAAAAATCATTTGTATAGCATACATAATTGAATGGGGATGATCTGGCTAAAAGCAATTTTTAACTGTGAATTGAAATTTAGTAAGGTGATTCAGTTTTTGCCAATATAAGAAAAGAGCCTCTTCCGAAATCCCCAAATCCCATCAGAAAATAGTTTTCATTAGTAGTTTGTAATGAACTAATCTGCAAAATCCTCTGAATACTTTGTAAAGTTTGTCTTTAATCACTAAATGTAAACTAAACAACAAATGAACATATTTGGCCATATTATTAATTATCTTAATGTTTAATTATGATATCCAATTAACTATTTTGGCTGAAAGACATCACTGACAAACATGAGAAGTTAATAGTGCAATATATTTATTTATATAGACTGGTAAATCTTGTAAGGTAGATTTTATCTGATTTGCATTTTCTAGAACTGAAAATCACATTTATTGAAGAGTATAGATGCTCTAATATGAACTTTACACCTTTTTCACTCTTCTAAGTTGAATTATGGGAAATACCTATTCAAAGTTAATTAGTTTCATGTCATTTAAGAAGTTAAGTTATATTATTTCTACCTGCTATTTTAAAATCAAACATTTTAAGAGGTGGTAATGAAATTAAATATTAAGGAAACAGTAAGATCTGGAAAAAAAACAAACCATTTGAACAAATAGGGAAGGTATATATTACTAATTGCTGGCTTTAACCTGAGGATATTTTCAACTTTTTCTTTTCTGAAAGAAATTCCCTATGACATATACTGATCAAGTTTTCAACAATTCCAAAAGGAATTTCTCTGTCTTCAAATTCTGTAAACTTTCATCATCATATGACACTGCTCATGTTGCCACTTTGTAAAAAATGTCTTTATTAGTATTGTTTCCGTGTCTTAATTTGTTTCTTATCCCTCTGCCTTTTGCTACTTAAAAAACATTTTTATTAAATTTGATAAATAATAAAACGAATGTATTTAAGTGTACGATTTAATGTGTGCATGTGTGTGCCTGTGTGTGTGCATGTGTGTGTGTGTGTTAATGTGGAATTAAATAATTTGTGCCCAGAGGGTTAGCAGTTGTGGTTTTCAAAATATGTGGATAAATATTTACATGATTCTCCCTACAAGAAGAGAATCTTAAATTCATTATCCTCAGTGTAGGCTGAGATAGCTTCGAAATAATAAAATGTGGTAGAAGTGATGGCATGTTACTTTCCAGAATCATTTATAAAAAGACTGAGCTACACCTTTGGTTTCTTCTGTTTCTTTCTAGAGATTTTTGTTTCTCTAGACAAATTTAATTCTAGATAAATTGTAGATAATTTTATCAGGTTGAGGAAGTTATTTTCTATGTTTGCTGACAGTTTTTTTTATAAAATTAGAAATGAATTTTAAACATTGTCAAATAATTTTATTCATTTTTGAGATGATTCTGTGGTTAGTCCTCTGTAGTCTAATATAGGAAAAGATATTGACTGATTTTTCAATGTTTGAATAATGGAATTCCTGGAAGATATTCCATTTAGTAATGTGGGTTATCCTTTCTATATGTATTTCTATTTGCTTTGCTAAAATTTTGTTATATAAATGTTGGTCAGTAATTACATTTCTTTGTAATATCTTTTAGGATTTCTGTTTGTTTTATTGTTGTACTGATTTTGATATTGGGGTAACACTAGCCTTGTAGAATTCGTTGGGAAGTATTTTCTCCTTTTCAATTTTCTGGAAGGGATTGTGTGGAACAGATGTTATATCCTCCTTAAGTGCTTGCTAGAATTCACCAGTGAGGACATCTGGTCCTTAAGTTTTATTTATTCTGGGATGTTTTACATTTAATATAATTTGTTATTATATATGCAACTATTCAGGTTACCTATTTCTTTCTTCCTTTATTCTCCTTCTCCTCTTTTTGTTAGCCAAACTAAAATCCTTATTTGGAATTCATGTGACCATCAATTTCCTTTGTTCTGTTCCAGTAGCAGTCCAGAGTATTATTTGCCACATCTGCTTAATCTCCTCCAATCTCTGCCAGTTTCTTAGTCTTTCCTTGTTTCACAGGACCTTGACACTTCTAAACAGTACTGCTCAGGCATTTTGTAGAATGCTCCACAGTGTGAGTTTACCTGATGTTTTTTCATGAATAGATTGAGGCTATGGATTTTGGAGAAAAATATCATAAAGGTACAGTGCCTTTCTCATCACATCATGACATCACATCACGACATCACATCACATCACATCACATCACATCACATCACATCATCACATCACATCACCTCACATCAAATTGTACAGGCATCAAAATGACATTGCTAGTGGTATTAACCCCTGACCACTTGGGTTAAAGTGGTATCTGCCTGTTTTATCTACTGTGAAGTTAAGCATCTTTATTTTTCTATACTTTATTTGTTAGAAGTGACTCATTAAGTCTAATCACATACTCAAGAGGTTGTGAATTAAAGTCTCCTTCCTGGGAAGAGGAACATCAAGAAATATGTGGATATATATGGCCGGGCACGGTGGCTCATGCCTGTAATCCCAGCAATTTGGGAGGCCAAGGCGGGCAGATCACCTGAGGTCGGGAGTTCAAGACCAGCCTGACCAACATGGAGAAACCCCGTCCCTACTAAAAATACAAAATTAGCCGGGCGTGGTGGCAGGCCCCTGTAATCCCAGCTACTAGGGAGGCTGAGGCAGGAGAATCGCTTGAACCTGGGAGGCAGAGGTTGCAATCAGACAAGATCGCACCATTGCACTCCAGCCTGGGCAACAAGAGTGAAACTCCATCTCAAAAAAAAAAAAAAAAAGAAAGAAAAGAAATATGTGGATATATGTGAACCACCATAGTAATTAACATATAGAAGAAATTCCACCCTGTTTAATAAAGGAATGAGAAATATCCCTGCCCCTCTGTGAATCTTAGAATTTATTTCAACCAATCCTTTTGGAGAGTTCTGTGCTGGCCTCAAGTCATTTTTTCACATTCATGTACTGGGCATTTAGCTGAAGACTCAAGGCTGACACCCTGCGGTTCCATGGTCCTTGCATTCTGTGAAGTCCTCTCCCATCCAGTTCTCCGCCCCGTGAACTCCAGCCTCCTTTCCCCCGGCCCTGAAATCTCAGCTCCATTGCAGTGCACAGGACTCTTCCTGAGTTTCTTCTCCCTGCACTATGGCCTGTAAATTATCTCCAGGAAATAGCCTGGGCAGTAAAGGGGCTTACCTTATTTATTTTCTACATCTCAAGCATCACTATCCTTCATTGCCTGGTGTCTGACATAGTGAAAACCATTATTTCATGTATTTTTTTCTGATTTTTATTTTTTCCCGATCGAGTGGATAATTCTGTCTCTGTTACTACATCTTAGTTAGAAACAAAAGTCTTTGCCCCACTTTTATTTCTTTCATTGCCTATCTAATTCATAAAATCAGAAAGCCTATATCCTTTACCTACAGTTGACAGATTGTTTAATAGCCAAAGTAGATTTCACCCTTCTTGAATTGATCTCTTTTCTTGATTTTTTAATATCTGAGGAAATATTTATTAAGGTTAACATCTAGGAATCTCAAGTTTAAAAAATCCTAGGGCTGCCCCCTTTTTTTAAAAAAAAATCTCTCTGAGCATCACTTTTTTATATTTAAAAATAATGGATAAATAAATAATACAGACATCACAGTTATGTTCTGAAGACTAAATCTGAAAAGCATTAAATGCAACTAGCACAGTGATTATTAGCACATAGTAGAAGTTAAATGGCCTACTATAATTTCCATCTTCGTGAGCAGCAATATTGCCTGAATTACCATCATCATTCCAAATATCTTTGTTCTTTATTGTAACTACTTTGTGTATTTTGCCTTCCTCCTTTCATTTAAACAGGGTCTTCCCAAATTATCCTTCTATTTGTCTTATCTTTATAATCTTTATTCTTTTGTTGATATTTCGTTCCATTGTTTTAATCATGTCTGTGCTGTTGATAATTGCCAACCTCGCTTCCAGCTATTATCTCTTCCCAGAGATCCTCTCCCATGACTGTGACTTTATTCTGCCTAACTTCAACTGTCTTTCACAGGTGAAATTCAACACGTTTCTCAACACCAGTGGCCCCACTCACCTCAAGCTGCTTTCTCTTACCATTTGTATACAATTCGCTTATTCTCCATTCTTTTATGTCCTACAGATCAAAACACTAGGATTAACTATGATCATTTCTCTTTTTTCCTTAAATGTAATTCTTTATATTCATTACCACTACCCTATCCTATTTCACACTTAATTTTACTTGATTAGAGAATTATAACACTCTTCAAATTAATTTAATAATCTCTATACACTTTATTCTTTTGACCATTTTGAAAACATTTTTTTCTTCCTATATGAGTGTCAAACAATATACCAAACTAAAAATAAATTTAAGTAAGGTGCTTGTATAAACTAAAATGATGGTCTCAAATTTAGGAGTTAGTGCCACTGAATGATAGGATTATTTTTTAATCCACATAAAGACCTTTGAAAAATAAATGAGTTGGAAAGGTGGCTCACATGATTCATTCTGTATACTTTTCAAAATGTGATGATTGACTTTGTATGCCATCCCGACTGGGCTAAGAAATGCCCAGATAGTCTTTCTAGTTGTGTCTGTGAAGGTGTTTCTGAAAGACATTAGGATTTGAATCAGTACACTAAGTATAGAAGATCATTTTCATCCAAGTGAATTGACATCATCCAATCCAGTGAAGGTCAGAATAGAACAAAAATACAGAGAAAGGACAAATTCACTCTATTTCAGCTGTGACATCCATCTTCTTCTGCCCTCACACACCAGTGCTCCTGGTTCTTAGACTTTGTACTCAGGACTTACACCATTGCCACGCCTTGCCCTAGGTTCTCAGCCCTTCAGCTCAGCCTGAATTATGCTGCCAGGTTTCCTGGTTCTCCAGGTTGAAGACTGCAGACAATGGGACTTCTCGACTTCCATAAATTCACGAGCCAATTTCTACAATAAATCCATACATCTAGATCTACATCTAAATAGATCCTATTGGTTCTGTTTCTCTGGAGAACCCTAATACACAAAATTAAACTTTCTTGCTCATATACTTACTAAAAAAACTTTCTGTTGCTGTCTTTCCTTTTAAGTGAAATCTAACCTTTTTTTTTTTTTTTTTTTTTTTTTTTGAGATGTAGTCTCACTCTGCTGCCAGGTTGGAGTGCAGTGGCGCAATCTCGGCTCACTGCAACCTCTCCCTCCCGGATTCAAGTGATTCTCGTGCCTCAGCCTCCCCTAAGATTAGATTTAACCTATTCAACTTGACGTTCAGGTTATTTGCAATATGCCCATCATATTTTCAGCCTGCATATCCCAGTACTTCTTTAGGTACGTAAGCTATTTTCTTTCTAATAAACCGCTATTGCTCAAAACTTCTCCATACACTCCACACCTCCCCTTTTTGCTCGCTTCTTCTTTTATTTCCTTATTTGAAGTATCCACCCCAAGTTTTTCCCTCTGAAATTTCTGCTTGTTAAACTCTATCACTCCCTCCATGAAGCTCTTCCTGGTATTTTATCCATATTAATCTATTTTTTCTCTAATCTTCCTCACTGCATTTTTAAATGTCTTTTGTAGTATTTATGGCATTTTAACTTTTATTATCTGCATTATATGTATTCATTTTATTTTATTTTATAATCAGTTTATGCTGGATTATAAACTCCTTGGGAGTGTTTGCTATTATTTATTAGCTACGTATTTTAAAACAAGCTATGTTGTACTTAATGCACATGCAAATATTTATTGATTTACATTTGATTTTTAATGTCAGGTTTACAATATAATATTTTTTTCCAATATAAAAACTTACCTGAAAGTTCATTCCCATAAATATTTTGGTTTTGGCAATTATGCTGTGTGTAATATATAATGTGGATTTTTCCCCCAAAGTAAGGGTATTTTAAAATCACAATGAAGGCTCCAGTGCAAGTATCATTACTGACTTCCCTCAGATGTAGGAGTTGTGATAAGAGGTTTGCTACAAAAATTTCAACTTAAGCTGAACTGCCAGGAGGCAGAAGAAGAACACAAGTTCTCTTCAAAGCTAAGAAGTGACTCAAATTTGTAATGCTTCTTAGAATTCATCTCTCTGTTAAAAATGCCCTGTTAAGCAACAAGTTTTATCCCATTAGCATATTAAATAATGAATACAACTCATGATTTGGTATGTGTTCAAATGTATACACAACTTGTGCACACACTGCAATTTTTTGAATCCCACAAAATAAAATACAAACTTTACTTTTTGTTAATATACAATTTAATAAGAAACACTTTTCACAATTATTTATAAATAACACAATTACATAGCTATCATAGATATAAGGAATGTTCAAAAATACTTTAATAAATTAAATGTGAAGCTCTTCACATATATGTACAAATTTCCTTCAAGTTCCTATACAGCATCAATTTAACCATAAGCAAAATGTAATTCTTAGTTGCTCTTATTTATTTTTATGTTCTATATATAATCTATTAAATTTATTATTATTTGGTTTTTCTTCATGCCTTGGTCTGTTTCTAACAAAGATGTTATTTTGTAAGTCATGGGTACATATATGTTGATTTGAGTGTTTCTTGCAGGAAATCATCTGAGTACTTACACGATTGCTTGAGTGAGAACACAAGATCCCATAAAAACAAAGAATGAATTCAGTGTATTTTCTTCAGTCAGCATCTCTCCTAAGATTAGATTTATGCAGTTCTATTTCCAGTTTAATAGCTATTTTGGTCATGAGAATGGACAGATACTGTGTCTTCATCAGTCCCCAATACGATTTATGTGATGAGACTTTGGTACAGGAATGTTAATGTTTTATATATTTCTGACAGTAGTAATGTACCATTCTATTTTGACCTTTCCAATATGATACAGATCGATTATCTGGGTACTTTATTTCTTCCTTTGTCTACTACTGTAAAAGTCTATTAAGAAAAAGGGCAAAATCAATCAAAATTTCTAATGCGTTAGATAACAATCCCTCAGTTTTGTCGAGTTAAAGTAGACATAGTTTCACTGTTTAAATACATCCATAAATATGTTCCTGTCAGCATAAGCCTTCTATTATTTTTAATATAGTATATATATTTTTCTTCTGAATTATAATTTTATGTAATATCTAATCTCATGCATTTCATTGCCAGCTACAAATTTCATAAACAGAAACAAAGAAAGAAATTCATGATGTTTAGCTTCTAGATTCTAGACATTCGGGTGTGTGTGTGTGTGTGTGTGTGTGTGTGTGTGTGTGTGTTTGACAAAATAGAAAATTTCCTCTAGATATGATGGACAAGGTAGCAAGGTACTTTGAGAAATCAAATCTAGATGACTTTTCGAAGTAATCAAAAGTTTCTGCACACACTTGAAAGGTGGCTAGAATTAATATTTGAATGCATAATTTTAAATTATCTATTAATGATAATGCAGACAATGAGGAAAGAATAATCTAAGTCTTTTATCATTCCAAAAGTCAACCTATTACTTCATGGTTTAAACTGACTGACTTTTATTTGCTCCATACAAACATATCTGTCATAAAAACCAAATATTTCAGTCTAAAAGTTCTCTAAGATGCATCAAAATCATTGAATTAGGAGTGTGAGAGACGTCTAATAAGTGCTGTCCTGGGATCTCCTGGCTCATGCCTAAGGAAATAAATTAATATCAATTCAGTGATTAAATGCACATTAGGTCAGGTCTGCTGAGTCAATAATTTCCATTTTCACCACTGCATGGATGTAATAAAATAAATACAGTGTGTTATCTTGAAGTTAAAATTAGTGTTTTTGCCACCTATAGGCAGCTTCAAAGATATTGCAAATCTTTGAGGATCACTCCTTATATAGTTTAGACAAACATTATAATTTTTATTTCTAGTGTGACCGTATTTGAACATTTGGGACAAAACACATAATGTACACTTCTCTCCAAAGTGAAATCAAAAGGCACAATACAACCATGCTGTGGTTGAAGGATGTAACATAGTTTGAAACAAAAATAAGGGAAAAGAATTGAAATTGCTTGTCTTGTCCCTTAGTAATCTTCACTGTCCACTCAATTTTTTTTATAACAGAAGGTGAACTATAATATCTCTTTGGAGAAAAGAGAAAGAGAAAGAAGGAAGATGGCTAGAAGCTAACATCTGTTTATGTTTATATGGAAATTGATGGTACAATTAAGCTGTAACCCTGGAGTTATCTGTTCCTGAGTTTTCCCTAGAAGAAATCTGGGAGTCATCTTGATTACTTTGTTTGTCATCATCTATATCTAATGGATATTTAAGGCTCCTTACCCTCTCTACTGCCACTGTCTTTTACATTCAACAAATATTTGTCCAGTTACTATTTTGTGGCAAACGCTCTGTCTTCAATTTCACTTGGATTTTTGTAGCTATTTATGTTGTCTGTGCCTCCAATTTTAGCTTTATCAGTGATATTCACTACATTGACATTATATGATTTTAATGTCTATAGATACATATTTTGAAGAGCTCACATAGCTTTATGGTTTACATTCACAAACATTAATGTCATTACATATTCCTTCAGAAATTGGCTACTAACTTTCACTCTAGTAAGATTTCTTTTTTTCTTACTTGAAAAACATCTTAAATTGCTTAAAATAGAAATAGCATGTTCTAGGATATTTTGTTTGCAAAAGTTGGTCTTTTTTGGGGGGCTTTTTTTTTTAACCTTTTTGTCAATTGGCTAATTTCTACTCAATCTCTTGGCTTACCAGTCTAGATTTTATAATTCCACTATGTGCTTCCATCACAACTTGTTTTTCCTTTTACCTTAGCACTTATCACATTGTGTTTTACTTCCTTTTAAGTAAATCTTTTAGTTTGAAATCATTGTAGATTCATACACAAAGGTGAGAAATAAGGCAGAGATCCATGTGCCTCTTATCAATTTCTGCCTATGGTAACATCTTGAAAAGACTATAGCCTAATATCAAAACCATGATGTTGACATGGATAAAACCTACCAATCTTAGCCACATCTACCCAGATTTACTTTCACTCTGTGTGTGTGTGCATGTGTGCTTAGTTCCATGCAATTTCAGCATGTGTAGGTTGTATGTCCACCACCACAGTCAAAATAGAGAACAGTTCCATTACCACAAGCTTTCCTCAGATTGCCACTTATAACCACATCCAATGGCTGATTTCCTCAGCCTCCAATCCTGCTCTGTATTTAACAACTAGTAACCACTAATCTGTTCTCCATTTCTTTTTTTTTTTTCATTTCCAGAATATAAATAGAATTATTTAGTATGTAACATTTTGGGACCGGCTTTTTTCCACTTAGCGGTGAAATAAATCAAATGTGGCCTAAATGGATGCAGAGACATACCCTATTCATGAATTAGAAAACTTAATATAGAAAAAAAGAAAATTCTTCTTAAATTGACATATAGAATGAATGGAATTTCTGGCATAATTCCAGGAAGACTTTTGTAGATATAGACAGCCTTATTCTAAAATTTATATTAAAAGTTATGGGCCCTGGAATAGCAATGTTTTTCCATAGAAAAAATGTAGTGGGAAGAATCACTTGACCTAATACAAAGGTTTGCTATATAGCTATGTTATCAAGACAGCATGATATTGGCAGAGGGATAGACACATAGACCAGTGGAACAGAATAGAGAACCAGAATAGATGTGTAAATATGTACAACTGATTTTTGATAAGGGTCAAAAGCAATTCAACAAATGATACTGCAGCAATTGAACATCCTATGACAGAAAAAAAAGCATTCTAAATCGCACACATAAAAAATTAAGTCAAAATGGATATTAACTTAAAGTCAAATACAAAACACAATGAAATTTTAGATAAAACATACCAGAAAATTTGAGGAATTGAGGTTTAGGAAAAGAGTTCTTAGACTTGATGCTATAAGCATCTAAATTAATTTTAATGGTTTGTAAGGTCTTTTTTTGTTTGTTTGTTAGAGATAGAGTCTCACTAAATTTCCTGGACTGACGTCAAACTCCTGCCTTGGCCTTCCAAAATGCTGGGATTGCAGACATGAGCCAGTGTGTCCGGGAAAGGATTGTGAGGCCTTGATGATAAGTAATGATAGTAAGCAACATGTCTCATTCATCTTTGTAAAACAGATGCCTATAGTGCTTGCTCATTTCTAACCTTCTTAACTGGCTTTTGTTTCCAAACTGCAAATCAACTTTTCACTCTTTGGCAGCATACAGGCATATTTCATTATTATCATTATCATCATCATCATCATCATTCACAGTAATTTCCAAACTTAAAAAATCCTTGGGAACAAAGTATCACTCAGTCAGAAAACTGGGTTTTCCTCTCATCAGCAATGGCCTGGGTAGTTTCCATGGACTTGGTGCTGTCACAGGCTCTGGTCTCCCTAGGGCAAGTCAACATTATTGGTTGGTAGCATTTTACAACACAAAAAAAACATGCAGTTTTGGGGAGAAGACACAAACCTTGCTCCTGGGCCCAGCAGGAAACAATGAAAGGGCAATGTAAGCACAGCTCACTTCCCCTGGAAAAGAAGGAAACAAGCTGGTACACCCCAACACTTTGCCTTGAATATAATTCAACAATATTACCACGATCTCCTTCCAGCAGTCCTCATGTGGGGACTCCAAGATCTAGCACTTGCTGCTAAATTGTCACTGCCCAAGATGAGCTTCAACCCCTCAAGGAAGTCTTCCAACAAAAGTTTTGTTACACTGTCAATAATTCTGTCAAGTTGAGTGATGAATTACTCTATCTTGCCCTTCTAACTCTTATTTCCATACATCAAATATACTATTTTCTCCATTCTTTGCATATGCTATTGCTTCTCCCTGGAAATTTCAAATTTCAATCATCCCACATTTCTTTTCCAGCTATCCAAATCTGTCATCTTTCATCATGCATTTTATGACTGCCTACTTCAAGATACCTTCTCTGAAGATTTCCAATTCAAATGTCCCTTCTGACATCCTATAACATGTAATATCTTACACATCATATGCTATTTTTATTGTGCTTACTTTTCTCTGTGTTAAACCTATTTTAATTTTTTGTTTGTGTGTTTTGTTTTTTGTTTTTTTGGAAACAGCGCTTCACTCTGTCAGCCAGGCTGGAGTGCAGTGGTGTGACCACAGCTCACCATAGCCTTGACCTCCTGGGTTCCAGCGATCCTCCTGCCTCAGCCTCCCAAGTAGCTGGGACCAGAGGTGCACACCACCATACATGGCTTTTTTTTTTTTTTTTTTTTTTTTTGAGACAGAATCTCACTCTGCTCTCCAGGCTGGAGTGCAGTGGTGCGGTGTCAGCTCACTGCAACCTTCACTTCCCGGGTTAAAATGATTCTCTTGCTTCAGCCCCCTGGTAGCTGGGATTACAGGGACGTGCCACCACGCCTGGCTAATTTTTGTATGTTTAGTAGAGACGGGGTTTCACCATGTTGGTCAGGCTGGTCTCGAACTCCTGACCTCCTGATCTGCCTGCCTCAGCCTTCCAAAGTGATGGGATTACAGGCGTGAGCCAACACGCCTGGCCTAACCTATCTTAATTGTTTAATAATCTCCGTGAGATTGGGCCTATTGGTAGGTTTAATAAATATGAAATATTAAATTTTCTAATTGGATATTTCTGTGTGTGTGCATGTATACACTTACACATATACAAGTGCAGTTTTTTGAATTGACTTTTTATTTAATCAATTTTTATAAAAGTTCTTGGCAGTAACTTTGATTCACACAGCCAAATGTTTGGTTTTTATTTAATATAATCATTGCTATATGCTGCTGAAACATAGTAGATTGTTGGGACAGATTATAAGTGTGTGTGGGGAGGTATGTGTAATGTGACTCTTTAGAAGTTTGACCCTAAAAAGCCTGGTAGAACTTGGGGTACCCTGAATACAATGTTTTCAATATCTTGGATAAATCATGCAACGTGTGATTTAGCACTTCGCATGATTACTGTGATTCACATATATTTGAATTCACACTGATCCTCTGTGCTAAATTCAGTTAGATGCCAAGATTTAGAATTTGGGTGCATCCACAATATTTTTCTTTTTTCTGTTGATCTGCTTGTTGTGATTGGTGATTACCAGCAGCTGCCGTGCACACTTGCTGATAATAAGAGATGTTTAGTGTTCTATTTTCTAGTTTCTCTTGTTTCAAACGCTCCGTGATAATCAGCTTATCTGCACTTGGCTTTGACAGGATGAGATTATCTTTACCCCTGTGAGTTTAGTTCTTCCATCATGGATATAAATCTTTATGGTTGGGCACATAGTGATGCTGACTGGAGAATAGGCAAGACTAGGCTTCATTCTGGCTCCAAAATGGGAATCAGCCCCTCTCTCTGGTAGAAAATATTTAGAGAACTTGGTCATCAGACATGCTTGTCTGCATGTCCCCTCATTGTTGACTGCTTTCTGGAGACAGAGGACTGTTTCTTAATAGCACTTCTCAGAAGAAGGGCCAAACATCTAGAACTCTGCAAAGATAATGAAAAATCTCTCATATCTGCAGGTTAATGTGAATGTGAGGTTACATAGACATTCCGCAGACATTCTCCTTTCTTATTTGCATGGCTCAGTCACAATATAGGATCCAAGCTGGTCTATCTGGAAGCAGAGCCTAAAAATCCACATTCTCTGTTTCAGCTCACGTACCCGTCGTGTATCTTTGTGCCAGAGTAGCTACTACCAAAGAACTAAGATAGAAGGAGAAAAACCCATTGATTGAGAGTGATGGTCTTCATTCTTCTTAAGGACTATAGCTTCTTTAGCAAATCATTCAGTTAAACAGCATGAAAACATGGTTCCCTGCACTCGCGTTTTAACAATTCATCTATTAAATTATATATCTATGTAACAAACATCTAGTCCGTAATATGAAATACATAAAACACTTCTAAAGCAATATTTTGTCAACTATACGTAAGTGACTTTTATTTCATTGGTTTCTGCTGAAAAAAGGTTGCTTGCTAATTGAGTATATTTCAACTTGGGAATGATTTGTTAATTATTGGTTACTAAAATGTACTGCATATTAGTATCACTTAAGAGTCTTTTAATATTCCTGCTTCTCAGGTCACACACAATGCCAATTAAACCATATTCTCTGGGAATGGGGCCCAGGCATTGACGGTTCTTTGAAAGCACACAGAGGATTCTAATGAGCAGCCATGTGTGAGAATCAGTGATTAACTAATCACTCTAAGTACTCATATCAGAATAGTCATCTCCTCTGGCTTACTGGGATAGGCAAAATTTCAAATTTGTTTGCTCATCTTTAGCACTTTAGCATATAGATAGATAGTTGGATCTAGATATAGATCTAGATATGCACTCTTAGTACTGATTTGCTCCTACTTAGCCATTGTAAGCATTCCCATTTCTGTTAAACTCTAAAAATATATGAAATATTTTTGCCTCAAGTATCCTATTTCTATGGCTTTAGGCATCCCAACAAAATTCATGATGGTTTTCCTGTAAGCTTTAAGTGTTGGAGGCACTTTGTTCTGTTTGCTGCCCAATAAATCTCCTGGGCCTGAAAATGGCATCCAAATTACAATAATGGGAATGTGCACATGCCTTGTAACTGGGGTGGATCAGAGAGTAAAATATTAAATAATATATACAGTGAAAGCAGCTCCAGAGACATTTTCTGGAATCTGCTGTACGATATTCAAGTCTCAATATTTAGGTTTTTATAGCATCTTCGTACATGTTACTTCCTGCTTTTGTTCATTTCCTAGCATGCATTTCATGAATGAAGTATCCAGCAGGATGAAATAAAAATGATCATTTATCTCCCATTGTTTCTTATCATATTTGTAGATTAATAGCAATATGAATTCATGTTGTGAAGGCGCATCCTAGTTTGGAGGGTTGATTTTCGATACATGTCTCTGAGATGTGAATATCAGTTATCACATAGAAAATATTGAAGAAAGTTCCTATTTCAATACTGCTTTCACCTTGTGGTTACTGATTATTGTTGCCATTATCGATTTTAGAAATTCCTAATAAGTAAATGCACATGAGAAGTCCAAACAGTAATGAAGTGTATTTACTCAGAAGAAAAGTTCTCTCTTTCAAAACTCCTTCAAAGTTTTAATCCCTTCTGAGACATAACCCCTGACAACAACAATCTGAATTCAGTGTGAGTTAAAAATATAACCACCCTTATAAATGCACACACCTATATGCATAAACAAACATACTTCTTTATGCGTAGAATTGCATGAAAATATGTTTGCTTACAGAGATATGAGAAAAAAAGTGTGTTTTATTTTTCTTTCTCTGTTTTCACAGTCACTCAATATAGCACAGAATGCCTCTGACACCAAATGTGTGAAGTTTTTCCCCACACAACAAGTAAGCAATTCTGCAGTGGACACCAGCAGGCTGTCCTCTAATTCAATTCTATCCCAACACTATCTACCTGGAGATAGTGTCAGATCCCAAAGGTTGAGGATTCAGTCTTGAAAGACTGGCCCCCACATCAGATGCTAGTCAAAAGCATGGGTTATGATTTGTGCTTCTGACTGACCAGTTGTGAATCAGGATTCCTATGACCCTTTCCTTGGATTTGATTAATTTGCTAGAGCAGCTTGCAGAACTCAGGGAAACACTATGTTTGCTGGCTTATTATAAGGGATATTACAAAGGATACAGATAAATGGCCAGTTGAAAAAGATGCATAATGTTGGGTATATGGCAAACAGTGTGAAGTTTCCATGGCCTCTCAAGGCTTGCCATCCTCCAGGAACCTCCACCTATTCAGCTATCTAGAAGCTCCTAGAACACAGTTTAAAACAAAATTGTGGAAGCTTGACTAATTAAATCTTTGGCCAGCAGTGATCAACTTAACCTTCGGCCGTCTTTCTTCTCCCTGGAAGTTAGGTGGGGTGGTGGAGGTGAAATTTCTGATCCTTTAATCCTACCTTGTTTTTTCCAGCCCCCAGTCTCCATCCTGAAGCTATCTGGGAGCCCCCAGCCACCAGGGATTTTATTAGCATAAGAAAATGCTGTTATCTTTCTGAAGATTCCAAGAGTTTTAGGAACTGTATGCCAGGGAATAAGGACTATCACCAAATTTATATTTCACAAAATCAGTTTCTGTTTTAAATTGGATTGTTTTATAGGCATTGGTGTTCTGAAACTTGCTACTTTCTAACAGCAGTGAAGACATTTTCATGTCAGTAATTATTATTTCTTTATACAGCATTTTATTTTTATTGAGGTATAGTTACAGTAAAATATACAGACCACAGTTTGATGAATGTCAAACCAACACTCCAATCAAGATAGAGAATACTTTCAGTGTTCTGATTTGCATGTTCATGCAACATGACTTTTAATGACAACACAATATCGATTTGTATGAATATATTATACTTTTTTATTGGTGTTAACTGAAAAATCACAAGCTTTATAAACTTAGAAAGCAGAGCTTTATTTCTTATGAAGTGTTACAATCTGCAGCCTCTAGCTAAAACTAAAAGCAGGTACTTCAGAGAAAAAAGGAGAATCTGAGATCTATGCCCAGTGAGATTAGATACACATACCTATTCATTTATGAGGTAGTCTTAATGTATGCATACTGAATAAACATGTATGTTACATATGACCCAGGTTTTCTTTGGGGTGGAGATATAAGATTTAAGTGCATTACAATTAGGCCTTATACATCTAAGGTGAAGTAGAGACTGGAAGTCAATCAGTGCACAGCCCCTGTAAACTGGCCAAAGCTAGTCCATGGTTGGTGGTCCCTTATCAGTCAAAAGTTGCTTAAATCAGTCTTTTGTCCAGTCAAAGCTGTAGTTATGGTTTGTAGAACAGGGGATCTAGTTAGTCAGTGTCTGGTTGTCAGTGAGCTGCAATTGCTTTAATATTGCTTATCTGGAGGCTAGTGCTTATTTGGCTGCTAGAGAAAAAGAAAAGATCTTGTGGCAGTTAGAACAAGAGTTTATTCTTTAAGTGTAGGGGTGCATAACTAAAACTTTGGCAAATATGACCTTAGGTCTTTATAATTTGGTGCCTTATTGCCACAACGAGTCTGTTCTGTCAGTCTTATGTTCACTATTTTAAGGTTAATGCTGATCAGTTTTGTCTAAGTCACAAACTGGAGGGGTTATAACAAGGCATGTCCAACCTCCCATCCCATCATGGCTGAGAACTCAGGGTTTAAAGTTTCCCTGGGGTCCCCTTGGCCAAGACAACATCTATTCAGTTTGTTGGGGAGCTTAGGATTTTATTTTTACTTCTCAATTTCTCAGTGTCTTATTGATAAGCATTTGTACTGTTTCTATTTTCTCCATTCTAAAAATTAAAATCAATATCCATGTCATTTATACCTGTGCACATGTCCAGGTGTTTCTTCAGAGCAGATACCCAGAAGTACAAATGGTCATGCAAAAACACTGGTGCAATTATTCTTCTAATAATACTTTTAAATGTATCACTTTGGCTGACTGGCCAATTTTCCTTCTTGTTATGAGAACAGGGAGCCAGATGTAAAGCCCCATAATGACCAAACACAGAACAGCTCTACTTGGGGTATGAACATTGTAGTATGTTTCAATCTTAAGTGGAGCTGAATTCTTTCTTCTTATTACTCCTCTATATTTATTGTGAAAATCTAGTTTTATATTAAGCTTTGCTGCTCTGTTTCTCTCTCTGATCCCAATAACTGTGAAAGAAGTTCCCAAGTACCCACTGCTTTGATTTTAGGAGTTTATCTAGAGGAAATCATAGCTATCCACCCACTCCTATAGCCATGAGTGGTTGATTTATTTCTCAAGCAGTTCTTCAATTAAGTACTGATATAGTCTTGCTACAGCTCACTCTTTGTTGATTCTAAACTTGGAGTTCCTCAGCAGCTTATATGGCAAAGTCTGTTCTCACCTATGCAACAGTTTTATTTTATGCCTTTTTTTGCTTGTTGTTTCAATTTCTTTTTCCCCAAATATGATCTCATCTGTTTTTTATCTTTTAGAAAGTACACATTTGTATCAGTATTTGTTAACTTTATTATTTCCTGTTTTATTGCTATTATTTATTTTAAAATAAATGTATTTTCTGCTAATTCAATGACATTAAGTTGAAATTAGATGGGAAGAAGAGATAAATGTGTGTGCTCAGTCCGCCACTTGGAAGTAGAATCCGAACCTGCTTCCGAAAAATACAACTTAGTTCACATGGTTTCAATGACTGTGGCAACACATAATATGTAAGCAATATCTCCTCACATTTTTATTCTATTTCTGAATCTAATAGTAAATCGTTATACTATGTTGTTTTTTATTCTTTATTTTTAATACATACAAAAGAGGCAAGAGTTTAAAGAAAATTCTCAACATTATTGTATTTAAAATACCTGCTAATAAACTTCATATCTGAGCATTTTTAGTCATTTGTATGTGTATATGCATGAATGTTGTATGAAGATATATTTTTAAGAGTTCAGAGGCAGTTTCAACTTGAGATAGCACTTGACTCAGGGTTTTTGACATGTATTTGATAATGGATGGTTGATTCCATGAACAGATTATGAGAACACACACTGCCTTCACTCCTCTTCTGAGATGCTTGTAGCTATCTTTCCTGAATAAAAAAATAGCTTCTAGACCCTGGGACATATCGATAGGCACCAAGACACTTTGATCCTAATTCCAGTTCAAGCAAAGAGAAGAAATTGCTGACTTACTTGTATACCATGAAAGCAGGCTTAAATGAGTTATAAGACGTTACACTAAACAAACAAGTAACAATTGAATTAAGAGAAAAATAATAGAATTTACTTCATAGAGAGGCTTATTTCCAATGTTTAAATTTTATCACACGCTAAATGATGTTAAAACTCTTTTTGCAGGAAATTGGACCTTTATAAACTAACTTTTTGACAGGAGATCCCTATCAAGATTTTTTGTGAACTTTTTTCTTTTGGTTCATCCATACAAAAAGAAAGAGAGTGAAACAGGAAGTAATTTGCCTCAGCTTATATAGTGAAAACACTTAGGACTCCTTCATATAGAGAGCTCTAGACCAAAGGCTGCCAGAGACCTTGACCTTGAATGTCCACGGCATAATGTATACTGCTTGATAAATCAGAGCTCCTACAAATATCTTGGGAAATTTTTGTAACATTAGAATTGTGACCAGTATTAATAATCTTCCAATTAGGTACAAAGAAATTTTAATAACATACAGTGCTGTGTCTTATAATAGGTTTTACATTTTTTAAAATGTTTAAAATTTTATGAGATAAACTTTTGAAAACTTGCTTCAGAAGAAAGCACTAAAGTCTAGCATAATTACATAAAACATTTTGAAGTAGAAAAGAGAAAATTTCAGCTCCAAATTAGATTTTCACTTGGAATCAGTATTTTAAGGTTTATTGAGAAGTAGTGTAAGAATTTGATTTCATATTTGAAATATTGAGAGTAGTAAGTCACTTCAACCAAAAAGGGGTGCTTTAAAAGAATTCTTCATAAAAATAAAAGATTTTATAGTTATGAATTCTATTACTAGTACTTAGAGTTTTTCTTGCACAAATTCAAAATATTTCTAGCTGTGAAGCAGAAATCAACATATAATTAATTTTTGATCTTATCAAAGCAGTTTAATCAATAAGTAAGTAAATCATATTAAAGTCTACAAAGCTGTGTTTACCTGCACAACAAAAAGAATGTTTCATAAGTGTCGAATGAAAATTGCAAGATTCTTTATGAGTCAGGGTGAGCTAAGCTGCCATAACAAAAATACAGATATAACATACGTTTAGCAAGATGTTAGGATGAAAAAAATATGTACGTGTATTTTTATATGTTTATCAAAATGTCAAGACTTGAGCTATATATATATATATATATATATATATATATATATATATATGTATTTCTTAATTAAGAGACAATCCCTCTATCCCTTCCCTGGGGAAGATATTATAGGTCAATGAGAAAAGATGCATTTATGTATACTTGTGGGGTAAGAGTGAAGAGAGGGTTTCCAGATTCAAATAGTTACGTGGAGTCTCAGACTAACAGTAATTCTTCATCTTCAGCACTGGACTTCCAAGATCATGCTGGCTTTCACTATTCAAGGCAAGAAGAATGGTGAAAGAACATGGAAGAGTGCACATATATCACCTAAAATAATACGTCTGTATGTGAAATGTTTTAGGTAAATTAAAAATAATTAAATAAGAATGAATATAGGTGAGATAAAGTTTTAGGAGAAATATTTCAAAAAGATAGTAATTGTATGAATGTTAAGAAATTTAACTTTTAAGTAAAAAACAACTTGCTTTTCCAGCTTTATGAGCAACATTTTAAAACATTAACAGTTCTCTTTTTGGAAGATTAGGTTGACATATTAAACAGTTTAGAATTCCCAGTTATTTAAATTAATTTTTAATAGGATGATCTTAACTTTATTACATTATAACTGAGCAAACATTCACATTCCCCAAGAACTCATATATTAACAGAGCATGCAGCTGTCAAGTATTTTTGAAAAGGCAATCAAAATAACTGTGAAACTATTTTTTATGGATGACATAATCCAAATGCAGAAATGCATTAGAACATCCTCTGCATATTCCATGGCTTAATGACCAATCTCATCTTCATTCAGCATTTTTCATCTACTTGTGCTTAAAAGGATTGAAGTAATTCTAAAACCAGCTTTCATATAAACACAATATATTTTTCCAAATTATGAGAGCTGTCAGAATGTAAATGTAGTATATTACCTGAGCAAAACATAAGCCTCTTAACTCTCATGTCTTTTCACAGCTTTACCTTTGAAAAGTATTACCAATTGCAAATCAGTCAAATGTTCGAAATCTTTCAAATAGTGGAAGTATACAAAATGCAGCAACTATTAAAATTAGTTAAGTACAGCAAAGCTTCATGATAAACAAAATGAGACATCTTTTCTTATAAATACATTCACTGGATGCAGATAATGTACTGAAGTTCTTTATTTGACCCTCTCTATTTGAGATAAGGAATATAATTGACTTGGATACCGAAGGATCGAATGTTACCATGTCAAGTTGAAAATGATTAAGTGATTTTTAATCCAGTAATTAGAGCCTAATATAACACAGAAAATTGTTATTGAACTACAATACCTCAATTTTATTTTTTCATTTATTGATAAGTAACCTCCTTTGGTGACAATGTATACTTTGCTCGATAGATCGGATTTTGAAACATGTCATGTTTCATAAGCAAATATCTCATAATTTACCTTGGGTTATTATAAATATTGAGTCTTTTTCAATAGTCATAATTTTTTATTAATTGATTTGTGTATGTCTTTCAACTAGTAACCTCTATGTTTAGTACAGACATCTTTCACTGTTGTATTCTTAGCATATAAAACAATACTGAGCATGAACTAATGGCTCAATAAGTACTTTTAAATAAATGAGTTCATGACCTTGAGTAAACCATGTAATAATGCTAATATTAATATGCTATATGTCACAAATATTAATAAAATATACTATTACTCTAAAACCTTTTCATATAAGATCTCCAAAAGATTTAAAATAAGCAAATCTACTTTTGCATTAGAGGCTTTCTTGTTACTTTAAACATAGTCATTCCAGTTTTCTTAAATTGCCAACCAAGCCTAATTTTTAACCAATTATCATAGGGTATTTATATACTAAATTAAGTGAGGGGGTGAAATGTTACATCTCAGTTTCAGGATTTTAGTTTTCTTCTTTTCAAAACAGTCCCTATCCATTCCGCAAAACATTTACTACTTCTTTCACTAAGGTATTGAACTGATCATAGTAAACTTAGCAACCTACACCCTTCTGATTAGTTCAAAATGGGTTTCCATCATTATTTCCCCTGTTCTACGTTCTATTCAATTCCAGTATTGTGATAATGGTGTTCTCTCTTACAGAACTATTGTGCTACTTAATTGATGTTTGTTATATACTTGGAGATCTTTGGATGGTAGATGATATTCTGGTGCCAAGTGCATTATTATTTCATTAAAATCAATGCCTAGATGAAATGCATTGCAGAAGGTAATGGCCTGAAAAGTGTTTTCTATTACCAAGTGGAAAGAATATATTTGTTTGGCAGCTTTCTAGGTACAGTCTAAGCAGGTGGCCACCAGCAAACTGACACCTAGAAGAGAAATATTTCATTCACACTATTTAGATTTTAATTGAATTATTTACAAAGAATATAAATTCTGAGCTATTTTTGCTAAGTGGATCAATCACTTTATACAAGGACAAATGAAAACCTACAAGGAAAAATATAAAGCTTCAGATTAGATTTACAAGAAAATGCTTACTTTAAAGACTCAGTTTAGTGTAGTGAAAGACCATGAGCTTGTAGTCAAATAAGTTGGGCTTGAATCCAGGGCCCATCAGTGTTGCAGTTCCATGACACACAGACTGGATCTGTCTTGTTCACTGTTGTATTCTTGGCATGTAAAACAATATTGAGCATGAACTAATGGCTCAATAAGCACTTTTAAATAAATAAATGAGTTCATGACCTTGAGCAAACCATGTAATAATGCTAATATTAATATGCTGTATGTAACAAATATTAATAAAAGATACTGTTACTCTAAAACTTTTTGATATAAGATCTCCAAAAGATTTAAAATAAGCAAATCTACTGACCTAGATGAGGTTGCTTTTTGCTTTGATTCTCTCCTTTTAGCTTTTGAGGTTTTTTTTTTTTTAATTGTTTAGTTTGTAGAGACTGGATCTATGTTGCACAGGTTAGTCTCAAACTCCTGGGCACAAGCAATCCTCCCACCTCAGCCTCCCAAAATGCAGGGATTACAAGTGTGACCCACCATGCCAGGTCTCTCCTTTTAGTTTTAATTGAAGTTCAGAACAACCTATATCATGTTTCTAACACAACATTAAAAACATGAAAGTGCACAGATTACTTTATAAAATGTTAATTATGAAATTATGAGACCCAATAATATTCATATTATAAAATGTTTAAAATATAGCAAAAGATAAAGAACGCATTTTAAGATAAACTCTAACCAATACCACTACTTGAAGATAATAATAATTGGCCCTTAAATATATTTCTTTATTGTGGTATACACACATACACAAACACATGCACATACACATAGTCATACATGTATGCTGTGTTTTTACTTCATATTGTGAAACACCCAATATTCTTCAAAACACTATTTAGAGAGCTGCTAAATAGACTTTTTATTACTATTAATTTAAAAATTAACAATTAACTGAATTAAACTGTCCAACATTTGATTAAAATAAACAATAACAAAGTGAAGAAATGCGTGTTTGAAAAATTCACATATTTATTTCCTTAACATATATCATTTAATGAGGAATTATTGTTTAAAGAATATTAATAAAAATGTGAGGCTCTTGATTTAAATTATTAAATAACTCTAAAGATTGTAAGAATTACACTGCCACTAGCAGTCCATTTGTACATATACTTACTGCTTATTTATGATTTTTTTTTCCTTTTCTTTTTTATCTTTTGGGTGTCCGTTGCGGGAAGTCAGGGACCCCAGATGGAGGGACAGAGTGAAGCTGCAGCAGAAGAACATAAATTGTGAAGATTTCATGGACATTTATCAGTTCCCAAAATTAATACTTTTATAATTTCTTATGCCTGTCTTTACTGCAATCTCTGAACATAAATTGTGAAGGTTTCATGGACATTTATCACTTCCCTAATAATACTCTTATAATTTCTTATGTCTGATTTTACTTTAATATCTTAATCCCGTTATCTTTGTAAGCTGAGAATGTATGTCACCTCAGGATCAGTATTGTACAAATTGATTGTAAAACATGTGTGTTTGAACAATATGAAATCAGTGCACCTTAAAAAGGAATAGAATAACAGTGATTTTCAGGGAATAAGGGAAGATAACCATAAGGTCTGACTGTCTGTGGGTTGGGCAGAATAGAGCCATATTTTTCTTCTTGCAGAGAGCCTATAAAAGGACGTGTGAGTAGGAGAGATATCACTGAATTCTTTTCCCAGCAAGGAATATTAATAATTAATACCCCGGGGAAGGAATGCATTACTTGGGGGAGGTCCATAAACGGCCGCTCTGGGAGTGTCTGTCTTACGTGGTTGAGATAAGGCCTGAAATACTCCCTGGTCTCCTGCAGTACCCTCGGGCTTACTAGGATTGGGAAATTCCAGCCTGGTAAATTCTAGTCAGACCGGTTCTCTGCTCTCATCAGACCTGTTTCCTGTTAAGATGTTTATCAAGACAATAGATGCACAGCAGGACATAGACCCTCATCAGTAATTCTAATTTTGCCTCCACCTTGTGATCTTTCTCGCCCTTGGAAGCATGTGATCTTTGTGACCTACTCCCTGCTCGTACACCCTCTGCCCTTTTAAAATCCCTAATAAAAACTTGCTGGTTTTGCGGCTCAGGGTCATCATCACGGTCCTACCAATATGTAATGTCACCCCTGGAGGCCCAGCTGTAGAATTTCTCTCTTTGTACCCTTTCTCTGTATTTCTCAGACCGGCCAACACTTAGGGAAAATAGAAAGGACCTAAGTTAAAATATTGGGGGCTGGTTCCCCCAATTGTATGTAGTAGGCATATATATTTATGGGGTAAAACTAAGCATATTTTTAATGCATGGAATAAGACTAGAAATTAATAATAAGAAATTTTGGAAAGTATAAAAATACATAGAAATCATTTATTCAAAAATTATGTTTTATTTGCATAAATTTAAGGGATACAGGTGCAGTTTTTTTGCATGGATATATTGCATAATGGTCAAGTCTGGGATTTTAGTGTAGCCATCATCCAAATAACATACATTGTACCCATTAAGTAATGTCTCATTCCTCACCTCATTTCCATCCTCCCACCATTCTGAGTCTTCAGTGTTTATTATTCCACATTCTATGTTCATATATACACATTATTTAGCTCTCATTCATAAATGAGACCATATGGTATTGGACTTTCTATTTCTGAGTTGTCTCACTTAAGGGCCTCTAGTTCACCCATGTTGCTGCAGAAGACACAATTGCCTTCTTTTTAAAGGCTAAATAGTATTCCATTGTGTGTATATACATATATATACATGGGGACTAGCAGTAATGCACGAAGTACATAAAAGCACCTATGTAATAGTGCTAATTGATTAGTACTGACATGGTAGTCAAAGTATGTGCTGAGAAAGAATTCATACACAGTTAAGAGATCTATATACATGCATATATATGAGAAATTTTCTTTATCCAGTCGCCTGTTGATAGACACTTAGGTTGATTCTATATCTTTGCTGTTATGAATAATGCTGTAATAAATATATGTGTGCAGGTATCTTTCTGACATAATGATTTCTCTTTTCTTTGGACAGATATCCAGAAGTGGGATTACTGGATTGAATGGTGGTTCTATTGTTAGTTCTTTGAGAAATTTCCCTAGTATTTTCCATAGAGGTTGTACTAATTTACATTCCCACTAACAGTGTATAAGCATTTCTTTTTCTCCACATCCTTGCCAACATCTGTTATTTTTTGACTTGTAATAATAGTCATTCTGACTGGGGTAAGATGATATCTCATGATGGTTCTTATTCATATTTCTCTAATAATTATCTACAGCATTTTTCATATGCTTATTGGTTATTTGTATGTCTTTTGAAAAATGCCTATTCATGTTTTTTGCCCACTTTTTAATGGGGCTATTTGTGTTTTTAATGTTATTGTTTGATATCCTTGTATATTATATTCTGGATATTATTCCCCTATAAGATGAATAGTTTACAAATATTTTCTCCCATTCTGCAGGTCTTCTCTTTACTCTGTTGATTATTTATTTTGCTGTAAAGAAGCTTTTTAGTTTAAGTAAGTCCTATTTGTCTATTTTTGTTTTTGTTTCTTTGCTTTGAGATCCTAGTCACGAATTATTTGCCTAGACCAATGTCCAGAAGCGTTTTCTCTAGATTTTCTTTTAGTATTTTCATAGTTCTCGGTCTATTGTGACATATGTATCCATATTTTTATGCATTTTCTAGTATTGTACTTGATAGTTTTCATTTGGTTCATAATTAATTAAATGAAAATATATAGTAGAAGCTTTTCATGTAACAATAACATCAATTATTTTGTCTGTTATATATGTTCCCATATGGAACAAAGGCTTTTAGGCAGAAACATGCCTGGTGTTTTGGAGAGACAAAACAGTGATGACTTGTGTAGTAATAAATGAAGAACATGGTATTAAGAGTTGATGTCTGTGGTGGGGCATTGACAGCCTTATGGACTTTTCTTTTTTTTTTTTTTGAGACAGAGTCTCACTCGGTCACCCAGGCTGGAGTGGAGTGCAGTGGCATGATATCAGCTCACTGCAAGCTCTGCCTCCCGGGTTCACGTCATTCTCCTGTCTCAGCCTCCCGAGTAGCTGGGACTACAGGCGCCCGCCACCACGCCTGGCTATTTTTTTGTATTTTTAGTAGAGGTGGGGTTTCACTGTGTTAGCCAGGATGGTCTCGATCTCCTGACCTCATGATCCGCCCGCGTCGGCCTCCCAAAGTGCTGGGATTACAGGTGTGAGCCACCGCGCCCGGCCATGGACTTTTCAAGGTAAAGAAAGACCATTCATATGAAGTCAGAGTAAAATGGGGAGTTTTAGAGGCTATAGAGAGGAGTCACGAAAATCAGGAAAAGTTAAAGAACATGAATGAAGGCAAAGAGCACAACCAACAGTGACAAATGGTATTATTGCGTCAAATATGATGATGATTGAAAAACACTGAAGTCATGGACATTGTGTCTGTGGGGCAAAAGTCTAAGTGGATTGGCTTAAGAGAGGTTGAGAGGAGAGCGGGTGAGGATAGAAAAGTCATTCAAAGGTTTTTGCTACAACATGGGAGCAAGACAATGCAGAAAACAGGTTCAAGATAAATTTTATATTTTATTTTATATATAGAATAGGAAAAATACAGCACACATCAAAGCAAATGAAAATGATCCAGTAGAGAAAATAGGATGTATAGATGAAACAGGTGTTAAAGCAAACTAAATATGGCCTGAGAATGACTCCATACTTATGTATTTGAGTACTTGTGGATGAACTGTAATCCAGCTTAATAGTCAGACAAAATTGAAAACCTAACTTAATATTATGAACTGTAACAATAGCTGAGTGTTGGCTAATCACAGTGCCCATACTTTGACTACTTATAGACTGCGGACTGTTCAGACTGTGTTCAAATAAGGCAAACACCAAGCTGTAATCAATCTTGCTGTTTCTGTACCTCACTTCTGATTCCTATATGTCACTTTACCTTCTTAGTCTATAAATTTGTTCTGACTACAAGGCACCCCTGTAGTCTCTGTGAATCTGCTGTGATTCTGAGGGCTGCCTGATTTGCAAATCCTTCATTGCTAAATTAAATTATTTTAAATTTACTTGGCTAAAATTTTTCTTTTATCAGATGGTTTCAGAAGTAGGATCCAAAGTGGAGCTTCTAGCAACCCCCAGGAGTGCTCAGTGAACATGAAAGGTACCTGCAGGATCCACTTGTGTACACTGATCTCTGAGTGGCTGGGGATTGCGGGAAAGCTCCCTCTCAGATTTTGGAGCTCCAGGGATTTATGTTTTGAGCCCTTTGAGTTTCTTTGAGCAAATTTCTGACCCAAACTGGGTTTGGAGTCATGATAGAAACTGGACTGGGTCTAGGAATGGATTTGATTAACTGGCTTGGATCCAGTTAGGGGCCTCCTACATCTGAATAGGTCAGAAAGGAACTGGTAGTAAGCAGTAATATTGCAGAGGTTATAAAATATGGCTTTTTAAAATTCACAGAGATTTTGTGTTCTACCCCTTTGTTTCATTTTCCTTGTGCACTTAGGTAGGAAACATCATTGGCTAAGTTAATCAATATAACCTGAGAGTAAAGCCAATAATTTAGGTAAAAATGGAATCTTTAATTGCTGGAAAACTGAGTTCCTTCTGGCTTATACATTAGGCCTGGGAGGCAGCTAAGTCTTGCAGAAATGGTGAGATCTTACTAAAGATAACTTACAGTGGAACATTCCGAATGAATAACAATGCATTGAAGTACATTTAAAAATGAGGGCTGTTGGTAAACCTGCTTTTGGCTAAGAATGGATTTGGCACTACGTGATGTCAACTGCTATTCTCTTTGGAATAATATGCCTTGCATCCTTTGCTGATGGCTGTGGATGACAAAATTAGGCATGTACAGGTTTGTGGGGCATGGGGAGTGTTTTCCTTCCCCCTCAAAAAAGGGAAACTTGAGAGCTGATGGGACTGTTGGGAAAAGATTCCTTCATGACAGCAGCCACAGCTGCCTGAACTTTTCAGTGTCACTGCAATGGATAAATCTTTCTCTGGCCTCCCATGCTTTTATCTCTCCTTTCCATTTTTTATCTTTTCTGTTACTCAAGGCAACCACCTTGATCAGAGACCACATACTGAAACTTCTAGTCGAAGGTTGGATTAAAGATGATGGGGCCCATCTGAGGGCAAATTTAAGCTTTGCCAGCTTGGTTTTGGGTGCTAAGCAAAGTGGCTAATGTCTAAGCTTTATTACATGTATTTTGCTCTTGCCAGAACGTAAAAAGGTAATGTTCCTTTATAATGCAGCTTGGCCCCCAGCGCGATGGTGTGGCAAGCTGAGTCACTGAGGTCACTCAGGGAAAGGGAACCCAGAAGCCTGGCATGCTGGCAAAAGGGTAAGAATTTCTTACCAGTCAGATTACTGGCTTTGGTCTCTCTGTGCAAACGGTTGAATGAATGGTAAAAATGACTGTTTGTCTCTTCTGTAAAGTTCTGATTAATGCCAAAAAGAATTCTGAGGCCAGTATGAAACTGATGTATTTGTGCTGTGAATTCATTTTTCTGTGTTGAGGGGTACTTTAGGAAAAAACATGAACTTAGGACCCCATAAGCTTGCTGCTCAAGACGGCCCAATAAGCAGGTCAATAACAAACTTTGCTTCAGGTCCCTGAAACAAACAAACACAAAAAACTGGATGGGGTCTCCATCTTGTTTTATGTCCCTTGGAGCTTGACCTTGTAACCACGTGGCAGTTCTTTTGGTCTCTGCCTTTCAGGGAGCAGGAATTTTAGCGTTTATGTAATAGCTATAAAAATTATCTTGAGTAGTTAAAATCCTTTTTAACCTCAAAATTAAGTACTCTAGACTCCTTCTGAGAAGGGTAGTAGAGATTGCCCCATGCTACAACTCAATAGATAAGGTTTCTGCCTTTTCACACTGGTAGTCTGAGTTCAATTCCCTGCTTAGGAAGTAAGTCCTTTCTGGTTTAATATCTGCATGTCCTTGTCTAGTCTCTTTTCCTCCACAGGCTATCTTAAATTTTTCTTTCTCTGAACACCTGGAAGTTACCTTTGGTAAAAGTTCAATAGCCAGAAATATCAGCCATTTGGCCTGGCTAAAATTGGGGTAAAAAAAAGTTTCAAAAGGACTTTATTAAAAAGTGCTATGGTTAAAAGTCAGTTTAATTAAAAGTAGATATTCAAGCTCTCACAGGCTGGACTCCCTGGGAAAAACAGGAGGCACTAGAAACCCCTTTCCTGGTCCTGTTCTTTCAAGCACTCCAACATAAAGCAAATAACCAATTAAGAAATTTAAAAACTGACAAATAAAAAATCTTACAACTACTGTAGTAATCTTTGTCTGTGTAATTATATATGTACTGTGTGTACTGTTTATGTAAAAGAGCTCTAATTAATTAGCTTAAACAAAAATAAGTGCTTAAATCAAATATTTTAAAATCAAAATGAAAACGGTAATGCCTTTTAGTTCATGTAGCTTTAGTAATCTTTGGAAAATAAAAACAGCTTTAAAGATGATTGATGAAATAAAGGCATTTGTTAAAATTGTGCAGGTCAGATATTAGGCTTGCTAAATGCTTTAAGGTCATAAACTACTTTGACTTTTGAAAATTGTTCAATTTATTTTGGTGTAGAAAGCTGAAACTGGATACCTCCCTTACATCTTACGCAAAAATTAATTCAAGACAGATAAAAGGCTTAAATGTTAGACCTAAAACCATAAAAACCCTAGAAGAAAACCTAGGCAATACCATTCAGGACACAGGCATGGGCAAGGACTTCATGACTAAAACACCAAAAGCAATGGCAACAAAAGCCAAAATAGACAAATGGGATCCAGCAAAACTAAAGAGCTTCTGCATGGCAAAAGAAACTATCAGCAGAGTGAACAGGCAACCTACAGAATGGGAGAAATTTTTGCAATCTACCTATCTGAAAAAGGACTAATATCCAGAATCTACAAAGAACTTAAACAAATTTACAAGAAAAAAATGAACAACCCCATCAAAAAGTGGCCAAAGGATATGAACAGACACTTCTCAAAAGAAGACATCTATGCAGCCAACAGACACATGAAAAAATGCTCATCATCACTGGTCATCAGAGAAATGCAAATCAAAACCACAATGAGATACCATCTCACACCACTTAGAATGGCAATTATTAAAAAGTCAAGAAACAACAGATGCTGGACAGGATGTGGAGAAATCGGAACACTTTTACACTGTTGGTGGGAGTGTAAATTACTTCAACCATTGTGGAACACAGTGTGGCGATTCCTCAAGGATCTAGAACTAGAATTACCATTTCACCCAGCAATCCCATTACTGGGTATATACCCAAAGGATTATAAATCCTGCTACTCTAAAGACACATGCACACATATGTTTATTGAGGCACTATTCACAATAGCAAAAACTTGGAACCAACCCAAATGTCCATCAGTGATAGAGTAGATTAAGAAAATGTGGCACATATATACCATGGAATACTATACAGCCATAAAAAGGATGAATTCATATACTTTGCAGGGACATGGATGAAGCTGGAAACCATCATTCTCAACAAACTATCACAAGGACAGAAAACCAAACACCACATGTTCTCACTCATAGGTGGGAATTGAATAATGAGATCACTTGGACACAGGGTGGGGAACATCACACACTGGGGCCTGTTGTGGGGTGGGGGGTTGGGGGAGAGATAGCATTAGGAGAAATACCTAATGTAAATGATGAGTTGATGGGTGCAGCATACCAACATGGTGCATGTATACCTTTGTATCAAACCTGCACGTTGTGCACATATACCCTGGAACTTAAACTATAATAATAATTAAAAAATGGAAACATTAAATTCTAAATAAGGCCTGGGGATATAAGAAATTAGCTGTGCCCCCTAGCTATGCAAAGAAGGTGATAAAGTAAAGAGATTTTGTGTAAGAAAGGATGTTTTATGGTAAATTCTTGTCCTAAAGTAAAATGACTGGTTATTTAAAAAGAGGGATGTTTAGGTTAAGTCAGAAAGTCTAAACATGTCATACATGGTCTGTGTAAGTCATGAAAGAATTATGAAAAGGAATTTATGCCAGAAATGTTGTACAATTTAAAGGTGTTTAGGCCTCCTAAATGCTTCATAAAATGCCATTATGGCTCTTAACTGTACAGCCTGCCTGCTTTCCATCTAGGTAAGGCCTGGGACACGTGGAGTTACACACTGGAAAGTCAGGCCTTATCTGCATTTCTGTCTGGGTCTTAGGCTCCACACCTAGTACATAACTAAAATCCCTTACTTAACAAGGTTTTCACCAAAAATAAAAGTCGTTATGAGTTAACATTGTAATATGTAATTGAGACTACTGAAGAAATGAGTTCACATGCAAGGTGTGTAAGTAGAATGAAATTGATTTTTGTAAGAGATTATAAGAAAGTATGGGAATGTAAATCTTCGCCTAGGTTAGAGGGTTAAATAATTGTTTTAAATTAAATAAAGCAAAAGGTTTGAACAAGTTGTGGAAAGTTTATACTTAATTGTAAGAGATTCTATGTGTGAACATATTGACTAAAGTTAAAATAGCATTATTCAGTTTTTTCCATAAATTGGACATTGGAATAAAAGCACAACAGAGTTTTCTTAGAACACTGTTCTTCTCTGAGAAAAAAAATTGTAAAGGGTTATAAAAGATTAATAAAAAACTTACCTTATGGTCAAACTAATTAAAACTAAATGGGATTTATAAAATGTTATTAAAAACAATCTTTAACATTAAACATACACTAATGGAAATATAAAATTTAGTTTTCTCTTTTAAAAATGATTTTTATGTAATATTAAAAGATAATGAAAGGTTTTTGTTTACATTTTAAGTAAACTACAAAAGAAAAAATGGGGGAAGGGAAAGAAAGGAGACAGAGTCAGCTGGCCTCATGCTATCTTCACTGGGTCTTCTTTGGAAACCTGAGTCCTCTCTATCAGAATAACGTTTCTTCTTTTAAAAATTTTGAGTTATCATTTTGGCTAAATCGGGCTCTAGACTATCATGCTAAATCAGCCAATACTAAAATGGTTTAAATATACAATTTGAATGAACTTCATGGGCTAATTCAAATTACCTGTGGTAAGTTATTAGTTATCAGTGCTATGCACCTAAATTGGAGAAACAACTGGTATTCAAGAAGACCTAAGTCCAATGTTAAGCATGGACTCATAAGAAACCAGGACAGCCACCTTAGCTTTCCTGAGTCCTTAAAGCTTTTGTTATTAAATGTTCTGCATTCCATGACTCGTCATGGAAAAGATAAAATAATCCAAATTGAATATATAGATGTGATGATTTATAAATTGCAGAAATAGTTTAAAACCAATGTTTGGTTACATATTACTGGAAAGACAATCAAATCTTCAGGTACATTTGGCTACCTGATGGGCCATTTAAACATTTATAAAGGGATTTCATTCAATTGTCACTTTTATTGCATGTTTTCTGTTTGTATAAAAGCTTTCCAATGCAAGAGGGCTGGTGTTATAACAGTAAATTATTATGCTACAGTATATATTCACCAGGTAAATAAAAAGCTTCTTATGGTTCACTGAGGACAATCCCTTCACAATCTAGAACCTGAAGACTGGATCTTCTGAGAACATCAGAGATAGACTATCCTGGCCATCCACACTGCAGCAAAACTTAACTTTGGAGCCTTGAACCTTAGGTTCATAATCTCACAACTGAGAAGGGTCCCTCCACACTCCTGGAACTGTACACCCATTGGAACCCTTAAGGTAAAACTAACCAGAAAAATTTCTCCGCAGAAGAAGATGGCATCCTCAATGTAAACAGCTTTCCCCAAGATCACAGATCAATACTTCTACTATCACGAGACTCATATCTTTGAATATGTTTTTCCTTGTTTATGCCTCTACAAACAATAGAAATGAAAAGGGGGTCCATTATGTGCACTTACATGGTATACTTTTGTGAAGAATTTTGCAGCCAGCTTTATACATGAATGAACTTAGACTTTAATAGATAAAAGATAAAGGCCCAATGTAGGTGAGAAACTTTAGTGGTAAATACATTGCCTCATAATCAGTCAAAACTCCTCTTAACCCACATCATAGATTACAGAGAATATTGCCAAGAGGCCTTCATTCTTTTAGAAGGACATCATTTGTTAGGTCCTTTTTCCATGGTTTAGAATAAAAGAGGCATTAATTAGAAATGTCTCCCTCATAATAGGCTCTACAGCAAATTGTACTTTAAAGGCTATTGTTACACAACAGACTTTAAATTCTCTTGTGAAAGTTATATGAAATAATAAAATTGGCTAAACAGAAAAGTACCTGTGCAGCTGCTGGCACTTGTGGCCTATGGATAAATACATCAAATGTAGATTATAAAAATTCAATTGTAGGGGATTAATGAAAAAAAACCACTTAGTCACATGGGCAGACTCTTCATCTAGTCATTCTTTAATCTACTTAATTTTTGGTGGTTTGGTTTATCTGGACGCTGGGTAAGAAGCAAGCCATAGTAGTCTCCCTGGTGCACTATATTCTCTCAAAGATTTTAAATGTTTGCATGCACTCATTTCTAGAACATCATATGGTCTCTCTTCAACTGGAATGACAAAAGCTGAAAGAAATGTGTGATCATGAGGACACCGTAACCTATGAATGACACACTGAGACCAGAAACCTAAAATGATGGTAACTGAGAGTGGCATTAAGGACCTAAGTTTTGGTCATACTCTCACCTAGGTGGGAAGCTAGCCATAAGGGGGGAATTTTTTTAAAAACAGAATTTTGGGAGGCCATTATTTTGGACTAAGTTCATGCCCTAGGCCCCAACGAATCAAACCAAACTATAATGGAGTCACTCGTGCTAAATGTGACATAATCAAACTAAGGCTTTAAGAAAAAGCATAGATCCTAGAACAGACAAGGTTTTGTTTTTCTCCTGTAAACAGGATGTTCCCGCATAAGGAGGTACTACCCTCTCTACTCAGCCTTTATTCCCTCCTTGCAAAATATGCTGCTCCACTGTTTCCCAGTGGGTTTCACAAACATATAAGTACATTTATGATAGTGATCATAACATTAATGACTAAGGTTTTGGTCAATCTCTCAAATTTGAGAAAATGACCAAAAGGGGGGAATTGTTAAAGCAAACTACATATGGTCTGAGAAGGACTTCATACTTTTGTATTAGAGTCCTTGTGGATGAACTGTAAGCTAGCTTAATAGTCAGACAAAATTGAAAACCTAACTTAATACTATGTACTGTAACAACAGCTGAGTGTTAGCCAATCCCAGCGGCCATGCTTCAACCACTCATAGACTGCCAAGTGTTCAAACTGCATTCAAATAAGGCAAACGCCGAGCTGTAGCCAATCTCACTGTTTCTACACCTCACTTCCGATTCCTGTACGTCACTTTATCTTTTTTGTCTATAATTTTTTTCTGACCATGAGGCACTCCTGGAGTCTCCGTGAATCTGCTGTGATTCTGGGGGCTGCCCAATTCAAGAATCCTTTATTGCTCCATTAAACTCTTTTAAATTTAATTTGGCTAAAGTTTTTCTTTTATCACAGGGAAGAATTACTAGAGCAAGTTCTTTGGTGGAAAGGAGGGGCAAAATTTAGTGCACAAGCGGGAAGTTTGGTTTTACATAGGAACAAGAAAAAACTGATCTTTAAGGCATAAAATCAGGTGAAGATGCTGTAGGTGTATACAAATAGTGATATGAGTATATGAAAATTGTGTTCTCGCAGTATCTTGTTTTCATTTCAGCTTGCTCGTATGTTTTCTTGACTAAACATTTTAAATTTTAATGTCAGTTTCACCAGTCTGATTTTTATAGGCTTTGTAGTTTTTACATCTTTCATTAAAAAGTCATCCCTTACTTGTTATGTGACTAAAGTTTCCCTGTACTATTTTATTCTATAAGTTTTCCTTTTTACATTTAGTCCTTTAATCTACCTGGATTATATTTTTTGAGTAAAAATTTTAAAAAGTAGAGGAAATACAGTGTTTTAATTTCAATTTCAAAAATTAAAAAACTAATTGGGGATAATTAACATACTAATAATTTGTACCATAAAAATAAATTTAAGTATATCTTTCCATTTGTTTTTTGAGTTTAATATCATTTAATACTATTTATTATGATTTACTTTTTTAATAAAGTCCTGTAAATATTTCATTAGAGTTATTTTAGGTACTTATTGTATTGTTAATACTGTAAATGGTATACATTAATATTTTGTATTATATTGTTAATACTGTAAATGGTATACATTATTTAAAACTATTTAAATATCTGATTAAATGTACCAACCTAGAAAGAGTACAATTAAGAAATATCCATATTTTTATCCAAACACTGTCCTTAAACTGTTTAATTTCCTTTTTTCTTCCTCCCTGAATGACTCCTAATACAGAAGCCATCACTTTCAGCTGCAGAAACAAATTTTATATCAGGAATTATGTGTTGCTTTCAGATATTAAAATATGAGTACAGTATAGTTCAATTTAAAATTTAAATCTCACTTTTAGTTCATGGATTTTGTCTTTCCTTAGCTCAAGACTTACTTATGCCTTGGAGACCTGCACCAAGAGAACATTCTTTCACTGTTACTTCCTCGTTCATTATTTTCCTAAACTCTGCAACTTCTGGGCTTTTCTTTCTTCTCAAACGTGCAGGTGATGTCAAAGCAAAAATTGAACCAGACTTGAACACAGAGTTGATGCATAAGAGTCCAATTATTAATTCAAGAGGCAGTCCATTTCATTTCTTACAGGTATCTATAAAAACTGACTTATCAAGAACCAAAACCTGCTGCTTGTCACTCTTCAGTGCTTGGGGTGAGGGTGGGAGGATGTAGACAATTTTATTATCTCTATTATTTACATAATTATTTGATTTATTTTAATCTCTGTCTCTCCCACTAGACTAAAATTTCCACAAGAGTATGGATTTTATTTTGGTGATTGCTATTTTCAAAGCATTTAGAACTGATCTTTCCTAATAAAAAGTGTTTCATAAATATGGGGTGACTGAATGAACAATTAAAGTATAATAGATATATAATAGAGTGTGCTATTGATGAACCAGAACATTTGCTAGGGCCACCTGAGTTTATGGGTGCCTACAAACAGTTTCCACCATTCTTAGCTCAAAGTTCTGCATCTGTCTCCATTTTCTGCCTAAGATATATATATATATATACACACACACACACACACACACACACATATACACACACATATATATACACACATATATATACACACACATATATACATACATATATACATATATACGCACATATATACACATATATACACACATATATACACATATATACACAAATATATACACACATATATATACACACACATATATACACACATATATATATACACACACACATATATATATATTTGAGACAGAGCCTCTCTCTATCGCCCAGGATGGTGTGCAATGGCGTGATCTCGGCTCACTGCAACCTCCACCTCCTGGGTTCAAGCGATTCTCCTGCCTCAGCCTCTGGAGTAGCTGGGATTGCAGGTGCCTGACACAATGTATGGTTAATTTTTTTTTTTGTATTTTTAGCAGAGATGGGGTTTTACCATGTTGGACAGGCTGGTCTTGAACTCCTGACCTCTGGTCATCTGCCTGCCTCGACCTCCCAAAGTGCTGGGATTACAGGCATGAGCCACTGCGCCCAGCCCCTTTTCTGCATAAGATCTTTGCCCAGTGCCAAGTGAGCTTACTCCCTATTGCCAGATGCAATGGCTGTAGTGTCGTGGAGTTGCCACCCACGGGGAGTGACCCTCAACAATTCACTAAGAGAGTTAGTAGAAAAACCTGACCTCTGATAAAACTATCCTGGGGTCTGTTCCATGATATTTCCAGAGGGCACCAAGATCCCAGCAGGATTTAGCTTCAGCTGACTTCAGGAGCAATCAGTTCATTCATACATTATTTATCGGCTTTTCTTTGTCCCACCTTTCCCACTTCCTTACTTGTGCTTCTCAGTACTACACTTGGGGGAACCCAAACTATGGACACATAAGCCATCAGTGATGATAGTTCCTCTGGGGAATTCTTATTATTACATCAAGTTGAAGTTAATGAGCAATTGCTTAAGAATTAACTTTGCTTTTATATTGTTATATGCCTGGATGAGAAAATAAAAATTGGAGTCAGCAAAATTACACACTAAAATGACTTTATTTGATCTATATTTAAATGAAAGTGAAAATAAATTTCAAATTCATTTTGTACAGAAATATGTATTTATTCTTATGCTTTTATGTCAATGCCTATGACTCTGCTCCTTGTAGTTGTCCTTCGAGGCTTAAATTGGAAAATAGAATTCACTATATGCATAATATACTAGATAGATTATTTCGTATTAGATAATGGTCTTCTCTGTAGCTTAAATAGTCACTATAGTTTTGAAAAATGATACAGTATCTTATTACATCTCAAGATAAATATTTAAGACATAGAAAAGTGAAATCTTTAATCTTTTATAATTTCTAGCAAAATGAATTTTCAGGCTTTGTGTATAAAGCTCTCAAATATGTTAAATATCATTTGTTTTCCAGTACATTTTCAACTACATTTTATTTTTGAAGGACCTCCTCATGAAAAGATAAAGTAAAAATGAAGGTGAAGATTGGAATGATGCGTTTTATCTTTAAATGAATTATTTCAAAACTGACTTATGTTTTTACATACGCATACCTTAGCAGTGGTCTTTTTCATATTGGTACCTGGGGTTGGGGAACGGAGGCATGAGTTGTGCAAAATAATGTAAGATGAGATCTATCCTTCCCATGATCAACAAGGTATTATTGACTAACCCACGTGATGAAAAAGTGAATAGAGATTTCACATTAGACGACAGGATTCTGTTCTAATGACTATGCATGTGCTGTTTAGGAATGTAATATAAAAATTACTATGCCTTGGCTTTGTGAAAGAAAAATAAATCTTGGGGCCTCAAAATCACTAAGCTAAAAGGGAAAGTCAAGCTTGCAACTGCTTAGGGCAAACCTGCCTCCCATTTTATTCAAAGTCATCCCTCTGCTCACTGAGATAAATGCATTATCTAATTGCCTACTTTGGAAAGGCTAGTCAGAAACTCAAAAGAATGTAACTGTCTCTCACCTACCTGTGATCTGGATGTCCCTTCCCTGCTTTGAGTTGTTGCGCTTTTCTGGACAGAACCAATGTACATCTTACATATATTGATTGATGTCTCCTGTCTCCCTAAAGTGTATAAGACCAAGCTGTGCCCTGACCACCTTGGGCACATGTGGTCAGGAACTCTTGAGTCTGTGTCGTGGGCACACGTCCTCAACCTTGAAAAAATAAACTTTCTAAATTAACTGAGTCCTGTCTCAGATATTCAGGCTTCACGGGTTCACTGATGCTAACAGAAAATCCCCATAATTTAGTGCTTAAAAGAACAGAGATATTTATTTCATTTTCATGTAATAGTTGTAGGTTAATAGTTAATGTTTACAGGACAACCCTGTTCTATATGGACATTCAGATACTTAGATTTCCTCCATCATGTTTCAGTCACAGCCCATAAAGCATTCTTATTGTTTCAGCAATCAAAGCTGAATCACTTCTGTGTTCTAACTATTCTATCATTAGAAAGTGTAAGGCTACCATTTTTAGGAATAAACACAGAAATGGGAAATATTACTTCTGCTCACATTTTACTGACAATCACTTTGTCATATGGAGACATTGTGATACAACAGAAGTTGGAAATATAATCTAGCCATGTTAGCATAAGAAAGAGAAGATGCATTTTGGAGGACCACTGGCTATTCCCTAAGCAAATGGTTAAGACTTAGTAAAAGGTACAAAAACATTTGATGTAATTTCAAAATTATTAAGATTGGCATAAGTTTAAAATATAACATATATTTGAATACTACATATATATATACACATATATACATACATACATAGTCTTCATCCTATTGTGCTTGCTTAATACATGTTTTGAACAAAGATTTTAATTTCTAATATGTACATCAAATTTAGTTTATAACGTACTTTAATAAAATATTGATGTAAAGCAATTAATAACCTGTTGCTATAGTTTGAAAGTGTTTTTTCCAAAATTCAGGTATTGAAACATAATGATCAATGTGATATTATTAAGAAGTGGGCCTTTAAGAAGTGATTAAGTCATGAGGGCTCTTCCCTCATAAATGAGATTAAGGTCCTTATAAAAGTGGCTTCATGCAGCCTTCAGCTCCCTTGCTCTTCTGCCTTCCTCCATATGAAGACACAGCATTTCTCCCCTCTGGAAAATGCAGCAACAAGACACAATTTTGGAAGTAGAGAACAGTCTTTACCAGAAAAGCAAGCCTGTTGGTGCCTTTATCTTACTCTTCCCAGCCTCCAGATCAGTGAAAAAAAAAAAAAGTTTTTTATGAATTATCCAGCAGTCTTAAGCATTTTGTTATAGCAGCACAAACAGACTAAGATATCTTTCATATTCAAATAAGTTTAAAAGTAAAATATACATATAGGTAGGTCTAACTGCTTGACCACAGATTTGTTTCAAAATTACTGTAGAATATTTTTTATTCATAACTTTGCTAGATGCTTGCAAAAGCTGAAGTATAAGGATTGCAATTATTGCACACATTCTTTCCTGGTGATAAAAATATAGGCAGAATGGCATTAAGCATGTAGGCAAACACAGCTTCATTTTTCAGTGAGTTTATGTGTACATTAATAACTAACAAGCAAGTAAAAATCCTCAAGCCATCACTGTTACAAACCTTTAAAGAACTGAATATATTAGCAATTTTATCTTCCAACACAAGATAATATATAGTTGGAGAAATTGATTAGTGAAACAAACAATTTTGTTAAAAACACTTACCTGATTTGAATATTATGATACTCTTTAAGTATTTATCACTATAATTATAATTATTATTTAATAAGAGATGCCTCAGCCATTATTTTTAGAAATATCAAGCTTCTTTGCATCATTTTATTATATGGAGATTGAAAACCATATATTTAAAATACATGATTTGTGTACAAGATGATAGTATTAAATTTGCAAAACACAAAGCCACAATGAGTTAACATGATAATGGTTTTATCTAGTTTAGTGAAATTATTGTAATAGTACTGATTTTTCAAATAAGTTAGACTAATGTCAACAGCATGAAAAATGCAGGGGTATTTATCTAGTTTAGTCAGTGTGTAGGTTGTATGAATTTATTCATGGTCCTTTCTTTCCCATTCTTGCCATGGTTTAGTGTGGAGAAAAACAGTCTACCTTTTCCCTGACTTTTGCCTTAGCTGGGTAACTAATTTTGACAGGGGAATATGGACAGCAGAGTTTGTCTGTACTATGCAGAGATTCTCAGAGACATAATCAGTTTTCTTTCTTTTACCAAGTTTTCTTTCACCTAGATTTCTTTCTTTTACCAAGAGAACAAGTCTTATATAAGATACTCTCCTTTGTCTTGGTTTCCAAAGTGAGGGGACATGTGGAGCTGTCCTGTACCCAACTTGCATCCTACATCCAAGTTCACCAAGTTCTAGCAGGCTTACAATAGAGTTCTGAAGAACTACAGCAAATCTTTAAACACTGGAAGCAAGAAATAAATTCAAGGTATTGTAAGCCAAAGAGTTTGGGGATTGAACACTATGTAGAATTATAACAAAATCAAACTATTATGGAAATTGGTGACAGAGGTGGGATGCTGCCACAACAAAACCTGAAATATGTGACACTGACATTGGAGATATGTAGGGCTCAGCAATTAGACTATTACTGTAGACTTCAAAATTTTCAACCCATTTTTAATAATGGAATAGAATTGGATAAAACTGCAACTTGAAATACCTTGGGGGTAGAAATATTCCTAATGAATTCCTGAAAGAAGACAGATGTCCCCTGAGCTGAAGTAATATGTGCTAGTTGTAAGCAGAAACAGTAATAGGTGGTGTGTGTTTCTGTTTACCTCTTGTGTTCTTTCCTCTTTCATGAAAACTCCATGTCCAAGATGAGAGGTGATCCTTTAGTCTGTGTCTCAGAATGAGGAGAAATGTGGAATAGTTTCAATCTTAGCACTCAGCCTTAGGCAGGTCTTAGCTGAATTTAGCATATAGAATCTTAGCAAATCACAGTATAGTGAGGTAGAAAAGAAGTAATAAATGCATAGATCTATGAGCAATTAATAAATGTTAGTTTCTGTAACACACTGAGTTTCAGATTTTTTTGTTATGTAGCACTATCATAGCAAAACCTGATGAGTTATATTCAAGCACAAACACTAATTTACTTCTATAGCACTATTAGCAGAGTTCTCACTTTTATTTTTGACATTTTTTAAAAGCACATTTCCTGACAATATTTACTGTTATAAAAATAATTGCAAGTAATTTTGTAGGCAGTTCTTTTAACATAAATAGAATTATCTGCAAACAAGATTAATGCAGTTTTAGAAGCATGCATGTAGTTCTTAGATGGTTTTTGGTTGAATCTAAAATTTATATTAAATTAAAGCATAATCTCAAGTTACATTCAAGCTGTATTAAGTATTCTCAGGTGTTCTAATTATATGTTTGAATTTGTAAATAATTTGATGCATAACTTTAACTACTTAATCTTTATAGTTATCTTCTCAATTTAGAAACCTGGCTTTTAAACAAAGTCATTATAAACAAAAAAATTAAATAATATACAAAGAAATCTGAGCGATGTATTGTTAGAGACATGTAGACATATTATAAAGAATACCATAACTACCAAAAATTTAGAGATTTCTTCTAAACTTAGAGGTGTCAGAATATTAAGTAATTTTAGTAAAATGTATGAAATTGGTAGTTTATTTGAAATAATATAAAAGCAAATATATAAGATAATAGTTTGGCTTTTCATTTCTTTGTCAATCAATTTTACCTTTACATTTCTTAAACTGAAAATCTTTGGGCTGTAATATTTTTAACACAAAGAATATAACATATTAAATGTTATTCATAAGAGATATACTGTACCACTTTTAGAAAAATCAGAGCACTGCATTATGCAGTGGGCCATGGTAGTACAGTACACAAAAATCTAGAAAAAAAAAACCTTGGAGGTTTATCTTTAACTCAAAACTTACCACTGTTCTAAAATTTTTTAGTACATTTAATTACATTTTGTCTTTTACTGTAAGCAATGCATTGATTTTAACATTAAAATGTTTTGAAAACAAAGTTATGATTATTCTTTTCTACTATATTTTTAAAATATTAACAACATTACTGTATTTATAGTCTATCTAAATGGTCATTCTTTTACAAGTTTGTATTTATACTGCTGCCCTGTATTCTAGGCTGTATTGATATAGATATATAAATCTTTTTGTAAGTACCATTTTACCAAATAAGTGTATGTTATGTGTCTCAGATATCACTTTAGATTCTTGACAGCAAAAGCAAGATGTAGAATTCAATCAGTGGTTGAGCTAATTTTTAAAAATAAGTTGGTTTTTTTTTTTTTTTTTGCGATGGGGTCTCCCTCTGTCGCCCAGGCTGGAGTGCAACGGCACAATCTCGGCTCACTGCAACCTTCGCCTCCCAGGCTCAAGCTATTCTCCTCTTTCAGCCTCCGGAGTAGCTGGGACTACAGGCGCCCCCACCACGCCCGGCTCCTTTTTTGTATTTTAAGTAGAGATGGGGTTTCACCGCGTTAGCCAGGATGTCTCCATCTCCTGGCCTAGAGATCCGCCCGCCTTGGCCTCCCAAAGTGCTGGGATTACAGGAGTGAGCCACCACGCCCGACCAAAAATAACATCTAAATCAGGGGTCCCTAATCCCGGGGCCAGGGATTGGTAGCGGTCCATGGCTTGTTAGGAAGCAGGATGCACAGCAGGAGGTGAGCAGCAGGCAAGTGAGCATTTCCGCCTGAACTGCGCCCAAGTCAGATCAGCAAGGACATTAGATTCTCACAGATTCCTGAACCCTATTGTGAACTGCACATGCGGGGAATCTAGGCTGCCAGTTTCTTAAGAGACTCTAATGCCTGATGATCTGAGGTGTAACAGTTTTATTCCCGAAATTATCCACCCCCCGCTGCACCATCCTTCCATGGAAAAAGTGTCTTCCAGGAAATGAGTTCCTGGTGCCAAAAAGGTTGGGAACTGCTGTTCTAATTGCACATACGATAATATTCCCATTAAAGCCACACACCCATAATTTATCTAGAGATATTTTAGTAAGCAATGTTTGAAAGAATCTAGACCAATGAATTATAAAATCATTCACAAAATTAGTCATTATCTATAAAAGAGCCCTTTGATAATTTTCTAATATTCAGATTTTAGCTTGGTAATTGCAGGATTTATAAAGCTACTACAATCAGCTATATGCTTCAGCATCTTTCCAAACAAAATGAAATACGATACACTAAATCACACTTTCAATGATCCTCAAAGAAATTTATTTCAAAAATGAATGTGCTGGGTGGACATGGCAGAGCAGGATGGCCAAATAGAGGCTTCCAACAATCATCGCCCCAACAGGAACACCATATTGAACAACTATACACACACACACACACACACAAAAACCCACCTTCTTAAGAACCAAAAATCAGATAAGCAATCACAGTACCTGGTATTTACATCAAATTAAAGAAAGAAGCACAGAAGAAGGTAAGAAAGACAGCCCTGAATTGCTTACACAACCCATCCCACATTTACTGACAGCAACCATGTGACAGGAGAGAAAATCTGTGCACTTGGGGAAAGGAGAGTGCAGTAATTTTGGGACTTTGCATTGGAACTCAGTGCTGCCCTGTCACAGTGGAAAGCAAAATGAGGCAGAACTCAGCTAGTGCCCATGCAAGAAGCATTTAGACCAGATTTATCTAGAAGCAAGTCATCCATCCCAGCAATCAGACCTGAGTTTCAGCAAGCCCTGCCACCACAAATTAAGGGGTTCTGGGGTCCTAAATACACTTGAAAGGCCATCTAGGCCACAAGGACTGCAATTTCTGGGCAGGTGCTGGTGCTCTGCTGGGTTCAGAGCCAGTGGACTTGAGGTGCATGTGACCTAGTGAGACACCAGCTGGGGCAGCCAAGGGAGTGCTTGTGTCACCCTTCCCCCAACTCCCAGTAGCACAGCTCACAACTCTGGGGAGGACACCTTCCCTCTGCTTGAGGAGAGAAGAGGGGAGAGTAAAGACAACTTTGTCTTGTAACTTGGCTTTCAGCTCAGTCACAGTAAAATAGGGCACCAGGCAGAGTTCTGAGGGTCCCGTTCCAGGACCTAACTTCCAGGTGATGTTTCTAACACACCGTTGGCCAGAAAAGAAACCACTACCTTGAATGGAAGGACCCAGTCCTGAAAGAATTAATCACCTGCAGAATAAAGAGCTCTTGGGCCCTGAATAATCAGCAGTGGTAGCCAGGCAGTACTCACTGTGGGCTTTAGTGAGTAAGACTCAGAGCCATGCTGGCTTCAGGTGTGACCCAGGAAATTTCCAGCTGGGGTGACTGGGGAGAAACTCCTAATGCTTGAGGAAAGGAAAAGGAAAGGATTTTGTCTTGCAGCTCATGTACCAAGTCGGCCACAGTAGCATTAAGTACCAAGCAGATTCCTAGTGTCCCTGATTCCAGGCCTTCGCTTCTGAATAGCATTTCTGGACCTGCCCTTGGCCAGAGGGAAGCCCACTTCACTGAAGGGGGAGATTGAAGACTTGCAGCATTCACCACAAGCTGACTGAAGAGCCCTTGGGCCTTGAGTGAATGTTGGCAGTAGCCAGGCAGTACTTGCCATGGGACTGGGGCCAAGGTGACCATGGGGAGAGACTTCCCTACTTGAGGAAAGGGGAGGGAAAAGTGGGAAGGACTTCATTTTGTGCCTTGGATGCCAGCTCAACTGCAGTAGAATAGAGCACCAGATAGATTCCTCAGGTTCCCAATCCAGGACTTAACTCCGGGATGGAATCTCTGGGACCTGCCTGGTGCCAAGGGGGACTAGTTTTCCTAAGAGGAAGGACACAAGCCTGGCTGGATTTGCCACGTGCTGATTGTAGAGCCCTTGTGCCTTGAGTAAACATAGCCGATAGCCAGGCAGAGGTCACTGCAGGCCCTGGGCAAAACCCAGGGCTATTCTGGCCTTGGGAATGACTCATTTTAGTCCCAGTGGTAGTGGCCACATGGGAGCTTGTGTCTTCCCTCACTCAGCTTCAGACAGCTCAGCATAGAAAGAGAGAGTCCATTTTGTTTGGAAGTAAGGGAAGAAAACAAGAGTCTCTGCCTGGTAACCCAAGGAATACTCCCGGATCTTACATAAGACCACCAAGGTAGTACTGCTATGAGTCTGCAAGAGCCACAACATTACTAGGCTTCAGGTGCCCCCTAAAGCAGATGTGCCTGCAGTGACCAAGGACTTAGATCACAATACCCAAGTCCATTCAAATACTTGGAAAGTCTTCTTAACAATGACAGGTATACACAAGCTCAGATTGTGAAGACTACAAGTAATACCCAACTCTTCAATACCCAGGCAATGATAAACATCCATAAGCATCAAGACCATCCAGGAAAACATGACCTCACCAAGGGAAGTAAATAAGGCACCAAGGACAAATCCCAGAGAGACAGAAATATGTGGCCTTTCAGACAGAGAATTAAAAATTGCTGTTTTGAGGAAGCTCAATGAAATCCAAGATAACACAGAATGAATTAAGAATGCTATCAGATAAATTTAACAAAGAGGTTGAAATAATTTAAAAAGAATCAAACAAAAATGCTGGAGCTAAAAAATGCAACTGAAATATTGAAGAATGCACCAGAGACACTAAACAGCAGAACTGATCAAGCAGGAAAACAGAATTAGTGAGCTTGAAAATAGGTTATTTGAAAATCCACAGTGAGAGGAGATGAACAAAAAGGAATAAAAAAGAATAAAACACCCCTACAAGATAGCCTCAAAAGGGCACAATAGTCTCAAAGCACAAATCCCAGAATTATTGACCCTAAAGAGGAGGCAGAGAGACAGATCATGATAGAAAGTTTATTCAAACAGATAATAACAGAGAACTTCCCAAACCTAGAGAAAGATATCAATAGTCAAGTACAGTAAGGTTGTAGGACACCAAGCAGATTTAATCCACAGAAGGCTACCTTAAGACATTTAATAAATTGCCAAAAGTCAATGATAAGAAAAAGGACCCTAACAGCAGCCAGAGAAAAGAAACAAATAACGTATAAGGGAGCTTCAATACATCTGGCAGCAGACTTCTCAGTGGAAACATTACAGGCCAGGAGAGAATGACAGGATTTATTTAAAGTGCTGAAGAAAAAAAAAAAAAACCTTATCGTAGAATAGTGTATCTAGTGAAAATATCCTTCAAAATGAAGGAGAAATAAAGACATTTCTAAACAAAAACTGAGAGATTTCATTAACACCAGATCTGTCCCACAGGAAATGCTAAAGGGAGATTTTTCAATCGGAAAGACAAGCATATTAATTAGCAGTAAAAAAATCATCTGAAGGTACAAAACTCACTAGTAAATGTAAGTATGGAAAAAAACAGAATATTATAACACTGTACTTATAGTGTATAAACTATATCTTCAGCAGAAGGACTAACAGACAAACCAATAAGAAATAATTACACTTTTTCAAGACAAAGTATAATAAGATGTAGATAGAAACAATGAAAAGTTAAAAAGCAGGGGGAAGAAGTTAAAGTGTAGAGTTTTATTAGTTTTCTCTTTGTTTGTTGGTTTGTGCTGTCAGTATTAAATTGTAATCAGTTTAAATAATGGGTTATAAGATAGTATTTGCAGGCATCATGGTAACCTCAAAAGAAAAAAACCCACAAAAGATAAAGAGCAAGAAATTAAAAGATACACCAGAGAAAATCACCCTCACTAAAAAAATACAGGAAGGAAGGAAAGAAGGCAGAGAATACCACAAACACACACACCCACACACACAAACACACACACACAGAATACAAATAACAAAATGGCAAGAGTAAAGAGTACGTCCTTATTTATCAATAATAACACTGAATGTAAATGGACTAAACTTTCTGATCAAAAGACATAGAGTAGCTTAATAGATTTAAAAACAAGACCAAATATCTGTTGTCTATAGGAAATACAATTCACCTATAGACTCAAATAGACTGAAAATAAAGGAATAACAAAAGAGACACCATGTAAGAGGAAATGAAAAAAGGACAGGAGTAGTTATACCTATGTCAGACAAAATAGATTTCAAGGCAAAAACTTTAAGAAAAGACAAAAAAAGTTTATTACATAACAAAAAGATCAATTCAGCAAGAGAATAAAACTATTGTAAATATATATGCACCCAACAATGGAGCACCCAGACATATAAGGCAAATTTAATAAAGCTGAAGTGAGAGAGACAGACCTCAATAGAGTAGTAGCTGGAGACTTTAACACCCACTTTCAGCTTTGGACAGGTCTTCCAGACAGAAAAACAACAAAGAAACATCAGTCTTAATCACACTATAGACCAAATGGACTTAATAGATATTTACAGAATATTTTGTCTAATGGTTGAAGAATATGCATTCTTTTTCTCAGCACATGGATTATTCTCAAGGATAGACCATATATTAGGCCACAAAATATTCAAAATTCCTAAAACATTCAAAAATTTAAATTATATCAAGTGTCTTCTCTTACCACTAAAGAATAAAACTGGAAATCAATAGCAAGAGGAATTTTGAAAATTAGTCAAACATATGGAAATTAAACAATATGCTCCTGGAAGACCAGTGGGTCAATGAAGAAATTAAGAAAATTTAAAAATTCTTGAAACAAATGAAAATGGAATCACAACATACCAAAACCTATGGCATAAAGTGAAGGCAATACTAAAATCAAAGTTTGTACCAATAAGCACCTACATTAAACGTAGAAGAACTTCAAATAAGTAACCTTACAATCTATATTCAAGAACTAGAAAAGAAAGATCAAACCAAACCCCAAATTAGTAGAAGAAAAGAAATAATGAAAGTGAGAGCAGAGATACATGAAATTGAAATGAAAAAAATTACAAAAGGTAAATGAAACAAAAAAAGATTTTTGAAAAGATAAATAAAATTAACAAAATTTACCTAGATTAAGAAAAAAAGAGAGAACACCCAAATAAATAAACTCAGAGATGAAAAAGGGGACATTGCAACTGTATACTGCAAAAATTCAAAAGATTATTACAGGCTACTATGAGCAAGCATATGCCCAATAAATTGGAAAACCTACAAGAAATGAGTAAATTCCTAAGCACATACAACCTAGTAAGATTGAGACATGACGAAAGCAAAACCTGAAGAGATCACTTACAAATAATGAGATAAAAGTCATAATAAAAAGCCTCCCAGTGAAGAAAAATTCAAGACTCAGTGGTATCACTGCTGTACTTTACCAAACAATAATAATAATAAAAAAAAAACAGCAATCCTACTCAAACTATTCTGAATAAAATAGAGGAGGAGGTAATACTTCCAAACTCATGCTACAAGGCCAGTATTACACTAATACCAAAGCCAAATAAAGACACATCAAAAAAAGAAAACTACAGGCAAATGTCCCTGATGACTATCCTCAATAAATACTAACAACCAAATTCAGTAACACAATAAAAAGATAAGTCAACATGACCAAGTGGGTCTTTCCCAGGGATGCAAGGACAGTTGAACACATGCAACTCAATCAATGTCATACCTTATATCAACAGAATTAAGGTAAAAAACCATGTGATCATTTCAGTTGATGCTAAAAAAGCATTTGATAAAATTCAACATCATTTGATGAGTTTTAAAAACCTTCAAAAAACTATAAAGAACATACCTTAACACAATGAAAGCCATATATGACAGATTCACAGCTAGTATCATACTGAATAGAAAAAAACTGAAAGCCTTTCCTCTAAGATCTTGAAAAAGACAATGATGCCGATTCTCACCACTGTTATTTAACATAGTACCGAAGTCCTAGCTAGAGCAACCAGACAAGAGGAAGAAATAAAGGGCATCTAAATTGGATAGAAAATAAGTCAAATTATTGTTTGCAGAGTGTATAATCTTATATTTGGAAAAGCCATAACACTCCACCAAAAAACTATGAGAACTGATCAATAAATTCAGGAAAGTTGCAGGGTACAAAATCAACATTAAACAATCAGTAGAATTTCTATATGCCAACAAACGATCTGAAAAGAAAACTTAAAAATGTAATCCCATTTACGATACCTATGCAGAAAAATATGTAGGAATTAATCAAAGAAGTGAAAAATCTCTACCATGGAAACGATAAAATACTGATGAAATAAAATGAAGAGGACACAAAAAACTGGGAAGATAGTCTATGTTTATGGATTGGAATAATGAATATTGTTAAAATGTTCATACTACCTAAAGCAATCGACAGATTCAATGCAAGCCCTATCAAAATACCAATGATATTTTTCACAGAAATAGCAAAATCAATCTTAAAATTTATGTAGAACTGCAAAAGACCTGTAATAGCCAAAGCCATCCTGAGCAAAAAGAACAAAATGAGAAATTGCATTATTTGACTTCAAATTATACTACAGAGATATAGTAACCAAAGCAGCATGATACTGGCATAAAAACAGAGAGAGATCAATAGAACAGAATACAGAACCCAGAAATAAATCCAAACATCTACAGTATACTTATTTTCTACAAAGGTTGCAATAACATATATTAAGGGAAAGAGTCTCTTCAATAAATGGTGCTGTGAAAACTGAATAGTCATATACAAAAGAATGAAACAAGACTGCTATCTCACACCATATACAAATACCAAATCAAAATGGATTACGAATGTAAATCTAAGACCTCAACCTATGAAACTACTACAAGAAAACATTGGTTAATTCCCCAGGACATTGGACTGAGCAATGATTTCTTGAGTAACACCCCATAAGCACAGGCAACCAAAGCAAAAAATAACAAACAGGATCATATGAAGTCAAAAAGCTTCTGCACAGCATAAGAAACAATCGGCACAACGAAGAAACAATTCACAGAATGGGAGAAGATATTTGAAAACTATGTATCTGACATGGGATTTATAAGCAGAATATATAAAGAGCTCAAACAACTAAATAGGAAAAAATCTAATAATCCCATTTTAAAATGGGCAAAGGATCTGAACAGACATTTCTCAAAAGAAGACATGTAAATGGTAAACAGGCATATGAAAAGGGCTTAACATCATTGCAATACTTTTGATATCTCACCCCATTTAAAATAACTTTTATACAAGAAACAGGCAGTAATGAATGCTGGCAAGGATGTGGAGGAAAGGGAACCCTTGTACATTATTGGTGGAAATGTAAATTAGTAGAACCACTATGGAGAACAGTTTGAAGGTTCCTCAATAAACTGAAAATAGAGCTGCCATATGATCCAGCAATCTCACTGTTAGGTAAAGAAAGAAAATCACTATATTGAAGAGACAGCTGCATTCACGTGTTTACTGAAGCACTACTAGCAATAGCACAATAGTCAAGATTTGGAATCAACCTAAGTGTCCATCAACAGATGAACTGATAAAGAAAATGTGGTATATATACACAATAGAGAACCATCCTGCCATAAAAAAGAATGAAATCTTGTCATTTGCAACAACATGGATGTAACTGGAAGTTATTATTTTAAGTGAAATAAGCCAGACACAGAAAGACAAATTTTGCATGTTCTAACTTATTTGTGAGAGCTAAAAAAATTAAAACAAGTGAACTCAAGAAGATATAGAATGATAATTACCAGAGGCTGGGAAGGGTAGTGGGGGTGGGAAGAAAGTAAGGATGGCTAGTGCATTCAAAAATATAGTTAGCTAGAATGAATAAAATCTATTATTTTATGGCACAACAGAGTGAGTACAGTCAACACAAATTTATTATACATTTTAGAATAACAAAAAGAATATAATTGGATTGTGTATAACACAAAGAAAGGATAAAGGTTTGCAGTGATGGATACTCTATTTACCATGATGTTATTATTATGCATTGTATGCCTATATCAAAATATCTCATGTACCTTATAAATATATATACCTGCTATGTACCCACAAATATTACAAACAAATAAATAGAAATTGAATGTGCTGGTAGCTAATATGCAGTATTTTGATCTAAATTTCAGGCAACAAAAATGTTGCTGATGAGAGTAAAATATAATACTTTAAACTCTTTCTTGTAAAATGATCCCTAAAAATAACTTCTGAATCCATTAGAGTAATCTGGTTTTTCTGCAGGTGGTTTTATTTCTGTGTTATCTTTATATTGAGGAAATTAAGTACCTCTTTCACTTATACAATATCTCACTTTGTTACTTAATTGTGCAATGCAAAAGAGACATTTTGTCTCCATTCTCTCATTTAAATGTAAATAATAGTATTAATTCATTAGTTATCATGTATGAGTAAAAGTATTTAACACAAAGCAGAGTATCTCGTATGTAATAGGGATCCTATGTTTGTGCACTTCCATTTCACTAGGAAATCTCCACCTCATTCCTATGCAATCACCACCATTGTTTCCAGAAGTCATATTTAATAGCAAAAATAGTTTGTTTTTTATTCCTATTACTGCCTATGGAAAATCAACAAAATATTCCAATGTTACTTTATACAGAAGAGATAAATATATTTATGTGTACATATATAGGTTCCAATTCTCAACATGTATATATGCAGCTATATCTTAGAAAAATGTATATGAGTATTTGTGTGTGTGTGTGTGCATTTGTGTGTGTTTATGTGTCAACAGCTTCACATTATTGTGAAAGAGAGCAGATGGTACATTTTGTAATAACAATAAAGGCTCTGTTAGAGTACATATTATAGAGGTATAACAATAATAATGTGCATCCTATCTTTTTATTCAGTTTTGAAATTACTTTCCCTTTCCGAACTTCAGTGAATCATGTCAAATTTACTATAATTAAAACTCAGGTTCTTAACAAAAGCCCATTTGTTGGGTTGCAACAATTAAAATGAGCAACATTTATTAGGGCCCTGCATGTTTTATCTGGGTGGAATTTTCTGTTCATTGTTTGCCATTCTGTTTATTGTTTGCTCTACCCTCTGGGAAGTTCTGCCTTATCTGTCATTCTCCTTGGCCAAATGTGAAATCAATATTTTGGAGCACACCATCCTTTGGACTTGTACTGCCTTTAAACCCTCCTGCTCATGGAAAACTAGAGGACTAATGATTCCAAAAGTTGAAGGTGTTTTTAGCCCAGCTTTATGGTTTCTTTAATAATAAAATACCTTTACAAATTCAGTAGGCTCCATTTCTACATGTTCTTCATCATTGCATTCATCACTAACTACACCCAAAGTTATCTCTCTCTCTCTCTTTCTCTCTCTCCTTATTCAACTGAGATATTTTATCAGAACTTTCGTTTTCATTCTTTGGAGTTTGAAACAGTGGCTTTTTAACCCCCCAAAAACCCATTATCCCTTTATCACTGATTACAAACTGGCTGGGTTATTCACGTGTTAACCTACCACATGTGATACGTTTTCTAAGTCCATCCCATAGAGCCAACACACAATAATAAGTTCTGGTATTCTAAGTCCTGTTTTCTAGTCTTATCCCCTAGGCTGGCTGACCTGACAGGAACATGTTTTTTTTCTCTATTATTGCAGGTGATGATTTTTGCCATGGCAAAGATGAATTATGATTGTTAAAAATCTTCAATATCACTTTTCTCATTTGATGTAATCTGTTAAGTCAATGTCACGTACCTTTGGATTATGCTAAGACAAGTCCCCACTTCAAAGAGCCACTTTTATATTAGTTAAGATACAGACTGTGATGAAAACTGTGAAATCTCATCTGTCAAAAAAAAAAAAAGACTTTTTTTTTGGGACGGAGTCTTGCTCTGTCACCCAGGCTGGAGTGCAGTGGTGCGATCTCAGCTCACTTTAACCTCCGCCTCCTGGGTTCAAGTGATTCTCCTGCCTCAGCCTCCTGAGTAACTGGGACAACAGGGGAGTTCCACCAAAGTTCATGTCGTAGTCTAATTAGGGTTCTGCGCAGTCCTTGGTAGCTCTCTTCCAAGCATTCACCAGGCAGCTCAGCTTCCTTCCCTTTTGCAGTGCTGCCATCATTAACATGGGTCCTCCAAGGACACCATGAAGGAAATAAAGATCATGGATTATTGTGGGGGGGATATTTATGACCAGGCCAGAACAGAGTAAGAACAACCCAGACTGTCAAAGCAGCTAAACTAATGTAGACTTCCTATGTACCCAGGAAGACTGAAATAAAACTTGACTTGCTGACAACATGGAAATGTCTGCCCTGCTCATATAAATTTACCATGAATATTTTTATGATACATATATTTCACACGGTATAGTCCAAATAATATAGTAAATAAACATTTTAGGTATTTTGTTCTTATAATAATCATCATTTAAAAATATTTGATGCATGAATAATATTGGAAAATTGTTCTCATATTGGATTCATACTTCATTTTGATTCATCTTTATGGAAGTCAATATTATTTAAAATGAATTTGTCATTTTCTTTCTAATCTTTTTAAAATAAATTTGGTAATCTGTCCATTTTAGACTCAAAAACTAAATAATCTTTGACTTTCCTACATTTAATGCCTTCCATAGCCACTCAGTTGCCCAACACTATGCATTTTACCTCCACAATACTACACTAAAATATTCCTTAATTTCCAGCTCCCTTATTAACTCATAAGCAGTTTCAGTAACACCCCCACTTGTCTACACGTTTCTACTCTCTCCTGCTATAATTCCACATCTTATTGATAGATTGATTTTTCCAAGTCCAGCTCTGATCATGCAACCAACTAACTTATTCAAAAGCATACTGGTTTCCCACTGCCTGTTTTGACTCCATATTCAAACATTCAAGGCTATTCATAAAATTGCTATAATCTGCTATCTAAATTGTCTTTCCAGGACCTGTGTGTTCATAAAGTATACTTCCTTTAAACTTTAAGCTATTTGATCTTTCTTCTTTTGCTCCTGCAATTTCCTCAACAAATTGTGTCTTGTTGTATTGTCACATACTCAGTTCTGACTTACCTTTCAAGTTGCTCCCAGAAAGTCCAGTGTTTATGCTAATACTGGTCATACTTGTGCAGATATACCATTTATCTCATAAGGTTAGGAATGATCCAAGATATATTGAAATGATTCTTCTAACAAATACATTATTTCTCCATTATTTCTTCACTTGTGAGACACAGTTTTCAAAACACAAGGAGATGGCAGCAAGGGGCATCTTGGGAGAAGTGCTTAAAGATTAAGGTACTAAAATTTAAGGATATCTATATCTATCTATCTATATATATATAGTTTATATCGTTCAAGGAACAGTAGATAGATGCTTATTTTATCCTTGCATTAGTTATAGTAATTAATACTGTTTAACCAACCACACAAAAATCTGAGTAGTTTAATGCAATAAGGTAGATTTCCCACACATCTTATATTCCAACGGGGTCAGGTGACTCTCTTGAGTAGGTGTTCTTCAAAAAGTGATTTAGAAAGAGAGACTCCTCTCATCTATGGCTTTGTGATCTGAAACACATGTATCCAGAGAGGGAAATGTTCCTAGGAGATGAAGACAGAGATGAAACATTGCATAAAATGATTTTAGGTTTCAAGGCTGAAGTTGGCTTATGTCACTGCAGTTCACATTCCATTATCCAGAAAGTCATATGGCTTCTAACTGAACTACAAGGGATATTGGAAAATATGCCCATGCTACTTTCCAAGGAAGAGAAAATGGTCTGCCTGCAAAGAGTACACTGCATCAACTCTGACAAGGTCCTTAAGTTCATCTTCTTAAGTTTATATTCTTATAGTATCAATATTTTACAGCATAGCCGAAATAGATTTTTTGAAATAAAGCTTTGTACATTGTCTTCATTCTAATACCTTCAAAAATTCAAGACTAGCAATTGATGCCTTTGAAAGAACACTAGAATTCAAAAATTAAATTTTAATATTCACATTTATAGTTTATACATAAACATAGCTGTATTTCCCCAAACCAATAACATTGAAATTATTAAATTAACAAGGAACTATATTAAGAAGGAAAAGACTATACTTCATAATGAGAAAGATAAACTAATCCTCCAATAGCCACCATGCTAGTATTTCAATGAAGTCAAAAAGAATATTCAAGACATCACTTACTTTATGGTAAATACATAGAAAAGGCAAATACATTCCATAGAAGTGATGAAATGTAAATACAATGAGGGTGACAGCCCATTTAAAAAAGAGAAGGAAAGAGAAGATCAAACATCTTTTTGAAAATGCCTCCAAAGAACTTTTATAAGTTTGTTTCTTGGAGCAGTTTTGGGTTCACAGAAAAATTGAGGGGAAGATACAGAGATTTCCCATACAACCCTCACTTTTACACATACATAGTCTCCCTCATTATTAACATCCCCCAACAGAGTAATACATTTGCTACAATTGATGAAACCATGTTGACATATCATACTTACCTGAAGTTCATCATACATAGGGTTCATTATTATTGCACCTTTTAAGGGCTTGGAAAAATGAATGACATGTACCCACCATTATAGTATCATACAGTATATCCTTACTGCCCTGAAGATACTCTTTGCTCGGTCTATTCTTCTCTCTCCTCATTCACTCAACCCTTGGCAACCACCAATCTTTTCCCTGTCTCCAGAGTTTTGCCTTTCCCAAAATGTTATATATTTGAAATCATACAGTATGTAGCCTTTTCAGATTGGCTTATTTCACTTGGTATTATGCATTTAAGATTCTTTTCATATCTTGATAGCTCATTTCTTTTTAGTGCTGAATAATATTCCATTGTCTGGATATACCAGTTTATTCATTCACCTCCTGAAGGAAATCTGGGTTGCTTCCAAGTGCTGGCAATTGCGAATAATGCTGCTATAAACATATGTGTACAGATTTTTGTATGGACATAAGCCTCACACAAAGACCTGTATACATATAGGACCTGTGTTAACTCCTTTGGGTAGTTGCCAAGAACTGTGATTAATTGGTCGCATGGTAAGAGTATTTCTAGTTTTGTAAGAAACTGCTATACTGTTTTCCAAAGAAACTTACCTTGCTGCATTCCCACCAGCATGAATACGAGTTCCTGTTGCTCCTAATCCTCATTAGCGTATGGTGTTGTCTGTATTCTGGATTTTGGCTATTCTTATAGGTGTGTAGTGGTATCTCACTGTGGCTTTAATTTGAATTTCCATGATGACATATGATAGAGACCACATTTTCATATGGTAATTTGTTATCTGTGTATTGTCTTTGATGAGGTGGCTGTTAGTATCTGGAGCTCATTTTTTATTCTGGTTGTTTGCTTCCTTAATGTTGAGTCTCAAGAGATCTTTGTATTATATATTTTGGATAAAACTGCTTTATTAGATGTATCTTTTACAAATGTTTCTTCTCATTCTGAGGCTTGTCTTCTCATTCTCTTGACATTGTCTTTTGCAAAACAGAAATTTTTAATTTCAGTAAGGTCTACTTTATCATAATTTCAGTAAAATCTACTTTATCAAGTATTTTTTCCATGTGCAATGGCTTTGGCATTTCTTTGCATTAAAAAAATGTGAATTGGTGATAATTATGCCTACATAACTAAATCTTCCTTCAGGTATAAAGGGAAACAGAAAACCTTCAAATAGAACAAAGAAATTGTTTTCTTACTTTTGAGCCGATATCGTCATACAATCTTGAACTTTTAGATGACTAACAAGTGACACAGAAGTTGTTTAGAAATGGCATGTGATGCCATTCCCTCTGAATCCAGTAAGGATCAAAATAAGGATTAAAAAAATAACTTTGTAGTCAAAGTTATATATATATATATATATATATATATATATATATATATGACGAAAAATATATATATATGACGAAAAATTAATTAAAGATATCCAAGGCATTATTTAAGGGTGGAGAGAGAGGCACATTTGAGAAAGGATTTTCTAAATATAAACGGGTAGAGAAAGGGAAATTATTTTGTTAGAGAAATGAGTTCAATAAATTGATTTTTGCTAATGATAATGAATAGGAATGTCCTCTGGAAAGCAAGTTCAAAAGGTAAATGAGTCCAGGAAATTACAATGCTACTTTTGGAAATAATTCTAGCTATATTTTCTAAATGTTTATAGATAATTTTTAAAAGAACATAAAGAGGCCATCTAAACTCAGAGTTACATAATCATATGACATTTATTTAAATCTGCTAGTATGAAAATAGGAAAAGAACAAACAGGTCAAAGGTAGTTCAAAGATATTATTTCTCACAGAATATAAATTAAGGAACATTTAAAAAATATACTTTGCTTTTACTAAGAGACAAGCAAAGTAAACCAGTAATACTTTATCTGAAAGTAAATAATATATAAGTACAAATGATAGCAATTAATATTTATTATTCTTTTTTATATTTGAATTAAATTTTATTTATTTTTCCATTGGCACTACATGCAATATGGAAAAACAAACTCTACCTTACCCCTGCCCCTGACTTCTCCTTTTTCTCCCAGGGACAACTACTGTTGACAGTTCTTGGCAGTGCTTTTGAAGATACTCTTCAAGATATTGGAGACATATATAAGCATACAACATGTATTACATTTATGCACATATATATTTTATACAGCCAAAAAGAGTTCACTATATACAATATTCTGTACATTGATTTATTTAATTAGCATTATATTTTGAAATTTATGTATAAATATATGTGCAGTTTATTCTTAACAGCTACAATTGTAGACATACATATACACAACTATGTATAGCTGTGTCATATTTAGATATTGTCAAATATCATATATTATTTCAAGTAACACAATTGCTATATTGCTATATCAGAGGGTAAGTGAAATACTAATTTTGATAAATATTTCTAACTGCATTATAGTTGAACTCCAAGCATCAGGTTAGACATTGCCTATCTTTCCACTCCCTCTAAGATTATGACATATAAATTTGGTTAGTGCCTAACCAAGCTATGAAAAATGGCATCATATAATTTTAATATAATTTTTAAAATTATGAGTGAGATCAGTTTTATATGTTTGAAACTATTAAAACTGACTTAATTAAATTGACTGTTCATATTTTTTGTGCATTTGTATTGAGCTAATGTATCTATATTATGCATTTTTCATATTTATTTAACAGAGAATCTAGCCCTATTTATGTGATATGAATTGCAAATATTTTCCCACCTCTCTTTGTCATTTATGTTTACATATTTTTGTCTTCATGCAGGTATTTTAAATTTATTTAACCTTATTCTTACTTTTATGATACCTAAATATTGTGTCATGTTTATTCATTCCAGCATTATTAGAAAATCATCCTATATTTGTGGAACTTTTATGATTTAATTTATCATTCTTAATTTTAGATCAATTCAGAAATTTGAGGTAGATAAAATAGTAGAAGAGGTCTCAGCTTTGCTTTTTACACTGATAATCCTGTTGTCCCAAAATCATTCACTGAATAATTTTTTTTTCAGCTGATAAAATACATTAAGTTCAAGAGTATATTTCTCTCTAGACTTTCCATTCTATCAATCAATTCACCAACAAAACATTTTTAACATATTGTAATTTCAGAATCTATTTTATATTCAACTTTAGTGAGCTCTAGTGAGTTCTCTTCTTTTACTGAAGTTTATTTACTGAATAGAATTTTTGTTTCCATGTTTCTGAAACCAAAAATAGTTTTTAGTGTTCTATTGGATCATAGGAAATTTACATGGAAATTTAGGAAAAATTAAATTATATAATATTGAGCAGTCTTATCAAAAACATGACATTATTATATTTTTTACATAATTTGTGTCCCAGGATATCATTTTTCTGCCTTTTTCATTTTTTTTAGTTGAGTCATTGTAACTTTACATGCCAATTGCAGGTAATAGTATACAAAATATCTTTCACAATTCCTCCATTTCCCTGATGGTAAATTGGAAAACTATAGTATGATATGACAACCAGGATATTGATATTGATAAAATCCACTTACTCAGATTTCTCCAGTTTCATCTGGAGTATGTGTACATATATTAAGTTCTATACAACCTTTTCACCTGAGTCCGCTGCTACAGTCAAAATAATGAACAGTTCTAACCTTAACATTCCTTCTGCTTTTATCCATTACCTATCTTCCTCCTGCCACATTTTCCATCTCTCTAATTCCCAGTAACCACTACTCTGTCCTCCATTTTTAAAATTCTGTCATATCAAAAATGTTATAAAATACAGTCATGTTGTACAGACATATCTCAGAGACATTGTGGGGTTTGGTTTCAGACTACTACAATAAAGCAGATACCATTATAAAGCAAGTCACATGAAATTCTTGGTTTCCTAATGCCTATAAAAGTTATGTTTACCTAACACTGTAATCTGTTATGTGTGTAATAGCATTATGTCTAAAAAACAATGTATACACCTTAATTAAAAATACTTTATTGCTACATAATGCTAACCATTATCTGAGCCTTCAGCAAGTTGTAGTCTCTTCGGTGGTGGAGAGTTTTGTCTTTATATTTATGGCTGCTGACTGATCAGGTTGGTGGTTACTGAATGTTTGTGTGGCTGTAACAATTTCTTAAGACAGCAATGAAGTTTGCTTTATCAATTGACTCTTCCTTTCAAGAAAATTTCTCTTTGGCATGTGATTCTGTTTGACAGCCTTTTACTCACAGTAGAACTTCTTTCAAAATTGGAGTCAATATTCTCAAAACTTGCCACTGTTTTATCAACTATGTATATATCATTATAAACCATTGTAATGTTCTAAACTGTTTGTTGTCATTTCAAAAATCTTCACAGCACCTTCACCAGGAGTAAATTCCATATCAAGAAACCACTCACTTTGCTGATCTATAAAAAGCAACTCCTCATCTATTCAAGTTTTATCATGAGATTGCAGCAATTCAGTCACATCTTCAACCTCCACTTCCAATTCTACCTCTCTTGCTATTTCCATGATAGCTGTAGTTGCTTCCTCCACTGAAATAATGAACCACACAAAGTCACCCATGAAAGTTAAAATCAACTTCTTCCAAATTCCTGTTAAAGTTGACTTGTTAACCTTCTTTCATGGATCGTGAATGGTCTTGATGACATCTAACGTGGTAAAACTTGCCCACAAAATTTTGCCAAGTTCCATCAGAGGAGTCACTATTTATGGCAGCTATAGTCATAAAAAATCTATTTCATAATAACACTTGAAAGTTGAAATTATTTCTTGATTCATGGTCTGCAGAATAGATACTTTAGCAGGCATGAAAACAATATTATTCTTCTTGTACATCATCATCAAAGTTATTGGGTGACCAGGTACATTGTCAATGAGCAGTAATATTTTAGAAAGAATCTTTTTTCTGAGCAGTAGTTCTCAACAGTGAGCTTATCATATTCAGTAAACCCATGCTGTAAACAGATGTGCTGTCTTCCAGGCTTTTTTGTTACATTTATAGAGCACAGGCAGAGTAGATTTAGCATAATTCTTAAAGGCCTTAGGATTTTCAGAATGATATATGAGCATTGGCTTTAACTTAAAGTCACCAACTGTGTTAGCTCTTAACAAGAGATTCAGCTGTGCTTTGACGCTTTGAAGCCAAGCATTGACTTCTCCTCTCCAGCTATGAGAGTCCTGATGGATGATGTCTTCTTCCAACAGTAGTCTGATTCATTTACATGGGAAATCTGTTGTTTAGTGTAGCTACCATCATTAATGATCTTAGCTATATCTTCTAAATAAGTTGCTGCAGCTATTCCATCAGCACTTGCTGTTTCACTTTGCACTTTTATGTTACGGAGATAATTCTTTCCTTAAACCTCATGAACCAACCTCTGGTAACTTCCGACTTTTCTTCTGCAGCTTCTTCTCCTCTCAACAGTCTTTACAGAATGAAAGCATGTGTTAGAGCCTTGCTCTTGCATTGTTTTGGCTTAAGGGAATGTGTGTAGCAGGTTTGATATATCTAGACTACCTAATCTTTCTTCATACCAGCAATAAGGCTGTTTCACTTTCTTATCAGACATTTGTTCACTTTTGAATAGCACTTCTAATCTCATTCAAGAACATTTTCTTTGTATTCACATTTTGGCCTACTGTTTGGCACAAAAAGTCTAGCTTTTGGCCTATTTTGGCTGCCAACAAGCTTTCCTCATTAAGCTTAATCATTTCTAGCTTTTGTTTTCAAGTGAGAGATGTTCAACTCTTCCTTTCATTTGAACACATAGAAGCCATTGTGGTGTTATTAGTTGGCCTAATTATATTATTATTATTGTGTCTTAGAGGATAGGATGGCCTGAGAACAGGGAGAGATGGAAGAACAGCTGATAGGCAGAGGAGTCAGAATGCACACCACATTTATCAGTAGTTTAACATCTTATATTAGTGTAGTTTATGGCACCAAAAAGCAATTACAATAGTAACATCAAAGGTCACTAATCACGGATCACTGTAACAGATATAGTAATGAAAAAGTTTGAAATATTGGGAGAATTACCAAACTCTATCACACAGACAGGAAGTGAGCACATGCGACCGGAAAAAATGGTACTGACAGACTTATTCAACGCAAGGTTGCCACAAACGTTCAAACTGTAAAAAATGCAATATCTGTGAAACACAACTAAGGTGAAATTAAATGAAGTATGCCTGTAATACATTTGGGGATGGTTTTTCTTAATTTTTACATATCATAATTTCCTGGAAATTCACCCATGCTGTTTTGTGTATCAATAGTTCGTTCCTTTTTATTGCTGAGTAGTGTTCCATGATATGCATATGCCACATTTATCGCCTGTAGAAAATCTGAGGTGATTAAACTTTTGATTGTTGCAAGTAAACCTCTTATGAACATTCAGGTACAGTTTGTTATGTGAACATAAGTTTTCATTTCTCTGGGATAAATGCCCAGAACTGAAATTACTGGGTTATGTAGTAGTACTATGTTTAGTTTAGTTTATTAATAGAAATCATGAAACAGTTTTCCAGAGTACCTGCATTACTCTTCACGCCCACTACAAATGCATGAGTGAGCCAATTTCTCTGTATTCTCACCAGCATTTGGCATTGCCACTATTTTATATTTTAGTCATTCTGAAAGGTGTATGTGATGTCTCGTTTTGATTTTAACTTGAATTTTCCTAACGGATAATGATATCGAACATCTTTTCATGTATTTATTTGGATCTGCATATCTTCTTTGGTGAAATTTCTGCTAATATTTTTGTTCATTTTTGAATTAAATTGTTATTTGTTATATTTTGAAAATTCTTTATCTAGCCTAGATGCCAATACTTTGCAGGTATGAGACTTGCAAATATTTTCTCTTAGTCTGCATCTTTTCTTTTAGTCTTCTTCACATGGCCTTTCACAAAGCAAGCCATTTTAATTTTGAATATGTCTAATTTAATAAATTCAACTTTTTATGAATTATGCTTTTGGTTTCAAGTCCAAGGACTTTTTTTCTAGACCTCAATCCTGAAGATTTTTTCTAAATCTCTATTTAGAAATAAAAATTTTCTCTAAATCTTTATTTGGGAATAAAATCCCAAAGATTTTATTCCTGTTAATTTGATAGCTTTACGTTTTACATTTAGTCTGTAATCCCATTTGAGTTAACTTTTGCATAAGGTGTGAAATTTAAATTCAGGTCATTTTATTTTATTGTCATTTTTCCCTATTGATATCCAATTCCTTCAGTACCATTTCTAGAAAGAACGTTCTTCCTCCATTGAAATGCTTTTGCTCCTTTTTCAATAATCAATTGGGCATATTGGTGTGGGTCTATTTTTGGTTCTATTTTCTTCTTCTTCTTTTTTTTTTTTTTTTTGAGATGGAGTCTCGCTCTGTTGCCCAGGCTGGAGTGCAATGGTGCAATCTTGGCTCACTGAAACCTCTACTTCCCGGGTTCAAGCAATTCTCCTGCTTCAGCCTCCCAAGTAGCTGGGACTACAGGTAGGCGCCACCATGCCCAGCTAATTTTTGTATTTTTAGTAGAGACGGGGTTTCACTGTGTTGGCCAGGATGGTCTTGATCTCTTGACCTCATGATCCACCTGCTTCGGCCTCCCAAAGTACAGGGATTACAGGCATGAGTCACCGCACTGGCCTCTGGTTCCATTTTCTGTTCCATTGATCTATGTGTCTACTCCCTGGCAATAATCTTGATGACTATAGCTATATAGTAAAAGTTAACTTAAGATAGAATGATTTCTTCCATTTTATTCTACCTTGTAATGATTGTTTGGTCTATTTTAGGGTCTATGCCCTTTTTGTATATATGTTAGAAGAAGCAACTCTGTATATTAAAAACAGACTGCAGGGGTTTCCACAGAAATTGCATTAAACCTAAAGACCAGTTTGGGGAAAAGAGATATCTTTATTATGTTGAATCTTTGAATCCATGAAGGTTACATGACTCCATTTATTCATGTCTTTGATTTCTTTCATCAGCATTTTGTAATTTTAGATACATAGACCCTGTACAGATTTTCTTGTGTCTACTTAAATATTTACTTTTTTGGAACAATTATAAGTAATACTGTGATTTTATTTTGGTTTCTGTATATTCATACCTATAGAAAAAAAACCACTATATTAAAAGTAATTGAAATCATACACAGTATGTTATCTTATCAAAATGGAATTAAACTAGGACTCAATAATCAAAAGTCAAGGAGAAAATTTCTAAATACAATGGAATTAAACAACACACTTTTAAAAAACGAAATCTCTAGAAAGTTTTACTCAATAATTGAATGAATAAAAATCCAACCAAAACACATCCAAATCTGTGAGACACTGCTTAGGCAGTTCTGAGAGGAAAATTTATAGCACTAAATGTCTACATTAGAAATGAGCCAGCAATTCCTCTTCTGGGTATATATCCAAGGGAAATGAAATCATCACCTTATAAAGACATCTATATTCTCATGTTCACTGCAGCATTATTCACAATAGCCAGAGTATGAAAACAACCTAAGTGTCCATCAACAGATAAATGAATAAGACTGTGATATATATGCCTTAATTTTAAGGGCTAAATAATATTCATATATATATGTATATGATGAAATATTATATATACAAACATATATATACATATACATGTACACAGACACAATAGAATATTATTTAGCCTTAAAAAAGAAGCAGATACTGTCATTTGCCACAACATGGATAAAACTGGAGGACATTACAGTAAATGAAATAAACCAGACACAGAAAGAAAAGTATTGCATGATCTCACCTATATGTGAAATATTTTTTTTAAAAGTTGAATATACAGTGATAGAGAATAAAACAGTGGTTACCAGGGGTGGTTTAGGAAGAAGCAGATGTGGAGATGCACTTCAAAGAATTCAAAGTAGAACATATTTATGATGAGTAAGTCTAAAGACCTAATGTACAACACAAGAATTATAGTTAATAATAGTGTATTGTATTCAGGATGTTTGCTAAATTAGTAGATTATGAGTGTTCTTTCCATAGGGGAAAAATGGGTAACTATTTCAGGTGATGAATATGTTAATTTGTTTTACTATTGTAACCATTTACTATATATATATCATAACATTATGTTGTTTACCTTAAATATACACATTAAAATTTATTTTACAAAAACTAAATAAGAAAAAGTTTCAAATCAATAACCTAAATGTCTACCTCAAAATACTAGAAAAAGGAAGTAAGCAGAAGCAAGGAAATAATACACAAGAAAACAGAAAATCAATGTAATTAAAAAGAAAAAACAATACAGACAATCAGCAAAACAGATTCTTTTTCTTCAAAATATTGCTAAAATTGACAAACTCTAGAAATACTAAGAAAAAAAGAAGACATATCACTAATATCAGGAATGAAAAAGGGGATATTACTGTAAATCCTGCAGCCATTAGAAAGAGAGTAAGGAACTGCTATAAATGCATTATACTCACACATTTGACAACTTAGAAGATATGAACAAATTCCTTGACATTTACAAGTTAATTGTTGGGCTTGCCATTCTACCCTCTATGACCTTCCCACTCATTATCTCCTATCTCAGTAACTTTAAACTCACTCATATGAGGCCCTCCATCCTGTGGTACTTCACCTGTATTTCAAGAGCAAGTCAACAACTCATTCTTCCCTGGAAGCCATTCATGAATTTAAATTACCAAGGTAAGGTCACCATCACATATGTTGCCAAGCTGGGATATTCCACCAGTTTGGTCTCAAAAACTAAATATGTCTATGATTTCTTTATATGTGGTCATGGAAATCCCAGAGAGTATTGCTATTTTCCCAAATTAGAGTCTTAAACCTTTTACTCTCATTTTCCCACACATTCTATGAACCTCTACAACTAATATTTTATTTCTTAAGCTGGTTTATGACTGCATGGCATTTCTTGTATATTTTCTTTACATTTATATACTTTTATATTCATAAAATATCAATTAAAATGTTTAGACCTGGTCATTTATGAGTAGTCTATCTTTGTCAAATTTATTTCTTCTATGAATCAAAAGTCTTTAAACTTTTCTATCTCCTCTGAGGTCAGTTTGGGAATTTTTATTTTTCTCAAAGGTTATCTATTCCATTCAAATTTAATATGCAGTTTTACACTTTGATTTTGTATTTGACATATAATTTAAAAGAGATTTCAAAGTATTTATTATTCTTTTTCAGATGCAAAATTTGTCTGCAAATATTTGTAATACATTAAGTTTTTTTGAAGAGATGCAACATGAGAGGTTTTCGTTGTTGTTTTGTTTTTTCCTTTGGAGAATATGCCATCCTAGCACCTTAAAGAAAATATATGTTTTCAGGATATATATAATTCATAATTGTATATGTGGAATTTATAATACAAAAGTGAAATACAAATAACCAAAATATGATAAGGTATAATTAAGATGTTTATCTAAAAATAAGATTTGTTAAGATGTTATTGAAATATTCAATTAAAATTTTTTAATACTCTAAAATTTATAAAATTCTTGCCTTATAAATACTGAAGCTATTATTCAGTGTATGAATAGCCAAAATTGTTGCCTATTTTATTGCAGATGGAAATTTTATCATTATAAACTATCCATTTCTTGGGTATTTAATGCCATTTAAATTTAATTCAGAACAGTCTGACTCTGACATTATGACCAAGGTTCTTCATCTTTTTGGTATTTTTGCCATTAATTTTATTTTCAAATTCTTCAGACCATTTATAGTTATATCCCTTTTTAAAAACCATAAAATTGAAATAAGCAGCTTTTACTCATTAAAAATGCACTTATGAAATTACAGTTGTATTTATTGATAGAACAAATATATTTGGTCTTACTATCATTTTTATGCTCTGCTTTTGTTTTTATTCTATTTATAAATATTCAAATCTAGTCTGCTTTTCTGTAATAATTTTGTATGTGTATTTTATCTGAGATTTTGGAAGGTTTTTCATTCTTTCATTCCTTTTATATCTTTAATTTAACATTCACAATACACATAACTTTCTAATTCTAGACCTTGTCTATTAACTTCTAATTTGAGAATAAGAAAGGCACTTTTTCACTTATTTACTTCTGTATTTCTACCTGAATATCTTCAGATTATATTTTTTAAACAGGCTTGAGTTTTTAATTATTTTAGATTTAATGAAAAATTTTAAAAGTTATCCATAAAGTTTCCATATATCTTCTCACCAAGTTTTCCCTATTATTGACCTCTTATGGTGATTGTTTATGGTTAATGAACCAATGCTGATACATTATTATTAACTAAGGTCTGTGCTTTAGTCAGTATTTTTTTTTTAATCTAATTTACTTTTCTGCTTCAGGATCCCATATAGGATAACACACTACATTTAGTTGTCATGACTCCTCCTTGCTGTGATAGATTTTTACTCTCCTTATTTTTGCTACCTTAAATGTTTGGAGGATTACTAGGTAAGTCCCTCTACTGAAATTTATCTCATGTTTCCTCATGGTTAGCATAGGGTTATGGATTTAGCAGAGGAAGATTACAGAAACAAAATGTCATTATCTTCTCATCATACCAAGAGTACATACTGACAACATGATTTATCTACTGCTGACATTGACCATGATCATCTATCTGAAGTAGTATTTGTCAAGTTTATCTCTCATAAAGTTTTTATCTACTTCCCATACTATGCTTTCTGTATGGAAGCCGTTATGTGCAGACTACACCTAACGAGTAGGGATTTATGCCCCCGTATCCCACTTGAAGATGGATTATTTATATAAATTATTTGAAATTGTTCTGCAAAGGAGAGTGTCTCTTCCATCTTATTGATATAGATAAATGATTCATTCATTTACTCTCCTTGTTTCATTTACTCAAGGTATAAAGTAAATAACCATGATTTATCTATATAAATGATATCTAAATCTAAATCACTGATAACTATATCAAGTATACCTATTATATCAAGGTATAAATATCCATGAGTCTATACTGATTTAGATAAATCACTGATATATCTATATTTATAATACAATATTATAAATCAGTGGTATCTATATCTAAATATACATAATATTATATTATATTATAATAATTTACATTGAAATATTATAATATTTACTTTTAGATATAGATATCACTGATTTATATCAAAATCACTGATATCTATATCAGTGTAGACTCACAGATATTTACTTTAAAGCTTGAGTTTATAATCCAATACTAATACATTTATTTTGTGGTTCAAATGGTTTCAGATTGGGGGAGACTTTCAGCCATTGGAGGGGCTTTCAGGTAGCTCCTATGTCCCTTTGACCACCAGCAATAACAATGTTTAGCTTTTTTTCATATGTTTGCTGGCCAAGTAAATGTCTTTTTCTGACAAGGGTCTGTTCCTTTGCCCACTTTTTGAAGGGGTTGTTTTTTTCTTGTAAATATGTTTAAGTTCCTTGTAAATTCTGGATATTAGACCTTTGTCAGATAGATTGCAAAAATTTTCTCCCATTCTGTAGGTTATCTGTTCACTCTGATGATAGTCTCTTTTGCTATGCAGAAGCTCTTTAGTTTAATTAGATCCCATTTGTCAATTTTGGCTTTTGTTGCAAGTGCTTTTGGCATTTTTGTCATGAAGTCTTTTTCCATGCCTATGTCCCGAATGGTATTGCCTAGGTCTTCTTCTAGGGCTTAACATCACTGGTTATTAGAGAAATGCAAATCAAAACCAAAATGAGATACCATCTCATGCCAGTCAGAATGGCGATTATTAAAATGTCAGAAAACAATAGATGCTGGCAAGGCTGTGGAGAAATAGGAACGCCTTTATACAGTTGGTGAGATGTAAGTTAGTTCAACCATCGTGGAAGACAGTATGGTGATTCCTCAAGGATCTAGAACCAGAAATATCATTTGACTCAGCAATCCCATTACTGGGTATATACCCAAAGGGATATAAATCATTCTACTGTAAAGACATATGCACCTATATGTTTACTGCAGCACTATTTACAATAGCAAAAACATGGAACCAGCCCAAATGTCCATCAGTGATAGACTAGATAAAGAAAATGTAGCAGATATACACCATGGATTACTATGCAGTCATAAAAAAGAATGAGATCATGTCCTTTGCAGGGGACATGGATGAAGCTGGAAGCCATCATCCTCAGCAAACTAACACAGGAACAGAAAACCAGACATCACATGTTCTCACTCATAAGTGGGAGTTGAACACTGAGAATGCATGGACACAGACAGGGAGCAACATACACCAGGGCCTGCTGGGAAGTGGCAGGGTGAGGGGAGGGAACTTACAGGATGGGTCAATAGGTGCAGCAAACCACCATGGCACACATATACCTACGTAACAAACCTGCATGTTCTGTACATGTATCCCACTTTTTTTAGAAGAAGAAGTAAACTAAAAAAAAAAAAAAAAAAATTGCACTTTCTTATTTTCTGGCACTACAAGATATTCCAGGCTAATTTTGTGTATTTCCTGTCACAATCCTAGAATCAGCCATTTCTCCAAATAAATCTGGGTCCCTTTACTGCAGAATGGTATCAAAACCCAAAATCTGGCTGCTATGTATGCTTGTTGATGTTGAGGGTCACTGCTAGGCTCTCTAGACTCATAGGGCAAAAAATGTACCCGCCTATGATTACCCAGGTGTATACAAATATTTATATATATTTCTACATGTAAGAATCGTATTTATATGTTTTATTCTCTATCTCTATACATTTGACTTTTTTATTCCACATATAAGCAAGATTATGTAATATTTTTCTGTGTCTAGCTTATCTCTATGTCAGGCTTATTTCATAATGTCCTCCAGTTTCATGAAAATGACAAGATCGCCTCCTTTATTCAGGTTGTTTAATCATGAAATATGTGGGAATTTCCTAGCTATTTTTCTGTTATTGACTTCTAATTTAATTTCATTGTGTTATGAGAACATCCCTTGTATAATTTATATTATTTAAAATTTATTAAGCTGTGTTTTATGGCCTAGAATGTGGTCAGTCATGGTGAATGTTTCATGCGAGCTTGAGAATAATGGGTGGTCTGCTACTGTTGGATGGAGCTTTCCATAAATGCCATGTTCCAGGTAGCAGCAACTTTCTTTACAAGTGAATTTCCGTAGTCTTTGCTTTCTTCTAGACAACCGAGACAAGCAACTGTAAGACTGCTTATCCTGTAGTCTCTTTCATCATCCCTGTCTTCCTGCCTCACTGAGAAAGAATTCCTTCCAAAATCTGCCTTCTAATTTCTCAGAAAACATCATATCTTTTGCATACAACATCACAAAAACATCATATGTTTTGCATATGCTTGGATTTTTAAAAAATCAAATGGAATTATTCCCAGACTATGCACTGATGGAGATACTATTTCAAAGAAAATATAAAGATTGTCTGAAAAACAAATCTGCATCAATTTGGAGCAACTGCTTCTACAGAATAATTTGTGACCCACACAAATTATTCTGTAGAATACAGTGCTAAGTAGGTAATGTGCTGTGTAATACAGTGCTAAGTAGGTCAATGTGCTGTGGTTAGGCAGAGAAATATTTTAAAACGTTTTGTCAGGAAGGGCCACTTAATAACATGAGAGTTGCTTGACATTACCCTAATAGGAGTATTCTAAATCATGCCCTAAAGTGAATATACTTGAAAAAAGTTCTATTTCTCATAAATAGCATTATGTACATGATATAAATAATAAAAGGTAGAATGTGTTGATGAAATTGCCAGAGGCAGTATAAGTAACTAGAAAAACAACATTCAAAATTAAATGCTTTGTTATATTATGCTACTTATAAAAGCAATAATTTGTCACCCATTGAATATTTTGTATGAAATGTTTATTATAATAATGAATGTAATTTAAAAGAAGTGGAGACACTGATGAGGCAATAGAGGTTAAATGGTCTCAACATTCTTTTTCTTAAGCAAATATGCTCAACAACAATTTACAGTATGCAATTTTTAACTTCTTACAAAACAGAACTATTACTAAAAATGATAAACATGACAGCAATTTAAGCATTTTTTTAAAGGGATCTCTAACTTTACATAATCTCCTGGTACTGAAATGCATATTATTTTAAATGAGTGTTATTTACTTAATAATCTATAAAAACTCATCTGACTCCTCCATAGATTTTTCTTATGCCAAAGCATATTAGAGTCCTTGCAGTGAAATATTAAACCCTTAGGTTATAAAACTTACAAATGAGCCGTAACTGTCGATTAGGTCAGTACAGGTGCTACATATGGGCCATCCTTTGGTTAAAATCACCTGTAATATTTCACAGATAAAAATATCAAGCCTGTACTGCAATGATTTACTATAAAAAGAAGATGCCATAAAAATGAAATGCATATATATTTTCTTTTCAAAAAGGTGTGAGATGTCTGAAAAAATTAATTTCTAAACATTTTAAAATGCAGTATATTTCAAGAAATATTCCATATCTTTAAATGTTTTAGAATGACATTTAGATTATTCAGATTTCATTCTAATTTATTTCCAGTTATGCCAGAATACAATTGGAGGAATTATCTTAATTTATACCTACACCTGGAGGAGCAGGACCAAAGATAAAGAAAGAAAATTAGCAATGTTGTGAAGTGAAAGAAACACAGAACTGTAAATTCAGAGATCTTTATTGTAATCTAAGCTCTGCTACTAACTAGCTGTGTTATCCAGACAGGGTATCTTACTTATTGAATCTTCAGTCTGGTTTCCTCTAGAAGAAAGATATTAAAGTGTAATTTCTAAGGACAATCTCTGAGATAAATCAAGTTCTCAGTTATGAATGCCCACTTTTTTAAAAAAATTGAATTTCAAATTTAGACATAATTTTTAATAAAATAAATATGGGGGTGCTTAACATTTCTAAATCTACCAGTAAAGTCTCAAAGAAGGACCCTTAACTAAATGGTAGCGAGCAAACATCAAAATAATTATACATTTCAAGATAATTAAAAAGTAATAAATTTGTTAATCAAAAATGAGGTTAACATTGAATTGAGAAGTAGAACAATTACATAATTCCAAACTACTTTTGTTAATTTTAAAAAATTCAAAATATTTAGATTTACAGAAAAGTTGTGTAGTGAAGATAGTTTTCATATGCTCTATCCCATTTCCTATGTTACTAACATCTTAAGCTAGTATCATACATTTATCACAATTAATGAAACAGTATTGATCCATTCTTATGAACTAAAAGTTCATTCTTTATTAAGATGTTTTTAGTTTTTACCTATGTTATTTTTCTGTTCCTGGTTTCCATCCAGAATATCACATTTGTTTTGTTGGCTAGTCCCTTATGGCTCTTCTTGGCAGTGAAATTTTCTCAGACTTGCCTAGTTTTTGATGATCTTGACAATTTTAAGTATACTGGTCAGGTATTTTGCAGAATTCAGGTTTCTCCAAGGAACTGTTTTTCTCATTTCATACCTGTGCTCTTCTGAAGAAAGTCACAATGTACAGACCATGTTTCAGGAGAGGGAAGTGAAGATTAACCTCCTTTAGGGCACTGTCTACATTAAGTAATTGGAATTCTTCTGCAAGGGAGATTTGTTTTTTGTCTCCTTTTATTTATTTATTTAATTATTTACATCGGTATGGACTCATGGATATTTATCTTATACTCTAAGTTTTGATCCAATACAACTTTATTTTGTTGATTGAATTTTTCAGTTTTAACTAATAAAATCTCTTACATTTGACTATGGTATCTCTTCAACATACTTCCAGAATTGTATTTTTTTTTTTTTTAGTATTTTATTACATTTAGTCACTATAAGATATATCAAGACTATCTTGCATATTTCCTGCCGTAGTCCTAGAACTAGCTATTACGTTGGTGTAAAATTGTGTAATTTTGTGTTGTGTACACCAAATTACGTTGGTGTAATTGTGGCTTTTGCTATTAAAAGTAATGTTTCTCCAAAGAGACCTGTTTAATTTTTTTTAATTGCACATGCCATTAGAAACGAAAATTCAAGATCTTGAATCTTCGTTTCTAAGTAGTGTGTGTCATCATAGTGCATTGCTGCTGAGATGCCATTACTTCTATACTCTCTTAGCTTACAGACAAGAGGATACATGTACATATATACACTAACCTGTGTACATGCACGTATCTATACATAGTACTCTATTTGGGATGGGCACGGTGGTTCACGTCTGTAATCCCAGCACTTTGGGAGGCCGAGGCGGGCAGATCACGAGGTCAGGAGATCTAGACCATCCTGGCTAACACGGTGAAACCCCGTCTCTACTAAAAATACAACAAATTAGGCAGGCGTGGTGGCACGTGCCTGTAGTCCCAGCTACTAGAGAGGCTGAGGCAGGAAAATCGCTTGAACCCAAGAGGCGGAGGTTTCAGTAAGCCGAGATCGTGCCCCTGCACTCCAGCCTGGGCGACAGAGTGAGACTCCGTCTCAAAATAATAATACTACTACTCTATTTGTGGATCCGTGCCTGCATTAAGCTAGATATGAGTTCATAATGATGCCCGTAAGTCAAATCACTTACCACATGGATCATCCCAGGCTTACTGTTTATTGTAAACTTCCACTCTAACATTGAGAAAACTCTTCTCATTCACCATCCATTTTTCAATTCTGGTATACAGATCTAGCGGTTTCAGACTTGTTAGCCAATAGTCTTACTGGAAACAACTTTGTTAACTAGACTATAATGCTTATATATTGTACCTTTTAATCTGACTATCTCCATCATTTCCAAAGTGACTTAGGTCAGCACCATTTTCCCCTGACTCCATTAGGTAAGATTATTCTATACATATGCAATAACATCAGATTTTTTTCATTGTCTGCATTCTATCCTGGGATCTCCCAACTACATAAATATTCATTTGTCATTTTCATACATTAAGGTCCACTCTATGCTATATAATGCATGGGTTTCAACAAATTATAGTGCCATGTGTCCTCAATTACAGTATCATATACAGCAGTTTTAAAGCCCTAAACAATCCCGTGTGGTTTACATATTCAACTCTCTCTCCCTGCAAACCCTGGCTAGCAGTGATCTTTTTTACCATGTTTATTTTTGCTTTTTCACTATGTCATATGATTTGGTCTGAATATTTGTGTTCTCTTAAAATTCTATTGTTGAAATACTAACCCCCAAGTTGATGGTATTAAAAGATGGGAACTTTGGAAGCTGATTAGGTCATCCACCCTCATAAATGAGATTAGTGACCTTATAAAAGAGACCACAGAGAGATTCCACTCTTCTTCCACCATATAAGGACAATGCAAAAAAAGACAGCCATCAATGAATCAGGAAGTGGGTCCTCAGCAGACACTGAATCTGCTGGCACTTGGTCTTGAACGTGCCAGCCTCTCAAACTGTGAAAAATAAATTTCGGTTGTTTATAAACCACCCAGTTTACAGTATTTTATTATAGGAGACTGAATGATCTAAGACATCATATAAACAAAAGCCTGAACTATGTAGCCTTTTCAGACTGACTTATTTCTTTAAGCAAAATTCATTTAAGTTTCTTCCATGTTTCTGCATATCTGGCTAGCTTATTTTCTTTTACTGGTAAATAGTATTTCATTGTATGATTGTTCTACAGTTTGGTTACCTATTCACCTACTGAAGTATATCTTGGTTGCTTCCAGGTTTGGCGATTATGAACAAGGATGCTATTAACATCTATGTGAAGGTTTTTGTGGGGACCTATATTTCTAATTCAGTCTGGTAAATACATAGGCATTCAATTGGTAAGATCACATGGTAACCCAATGCCTAGCTTTATGAACAACTGTCAAACCACCTTCCAATATGTCTGTGCTTTTTTGCATGTCCATCAGCAATGAGCATTCTTGTTGTTCAGCATTCTTGCTCACTATTGGTGGAGACAGGTTTTTATTATTTTAGCCATTTTAATAGGTATGGAATGACATTTCCTTGCTGTCTTGATTTGCAACTACCTAGTGACAAATGGGATTGTTTGTAGAAAAAACACAAATTGTTTTTCCTGTGCTTTCACAGCACAGCGATCAACACAGAAGACTTCTGTGACCACATGTGTGGGGAATTCTCCTCATCAACAAGCAATCAATTCCGCAGTGAACACCATCTGAGTCTCTTCTAATTCAATTCAGTTCTGATGCTATCTACCTTGACATAGTGTCAAATGTCACAAGATGCGAGATCAGTCCTCAAGCCTGCCCCTACTTATGGTGCTAACCACAGTCCTAGGTTGTTTTACCTGTGCTTCTGACCAACTAGCTATAAAGTGGGGATCCTACAAACCCCTCCTTGGGTTTGGTTAGTTTACTAGAGTGGCTCACAGAACTTAGGGAAGCACGTACTTATGCTTACTGGATTATTATAATGGATTTTACAGATGGATTATATAGATGAAGAAATACTTAGGATAAAGTATGGGAAAGGTAACAAAGCTTCCTGCCCTCCCCAGGTATGCCATCCTACAGGAACCTCCATGTATTCAGCTATTGCAAAGCTCTCCAAACTCTACCCTTTGGGGGTTTTATGGAGACATCATTATGTAGCTATGATTGATTAAAACATTGGACATTGGTGATAACTTAACCTTCAGCTCCTTTACCCTCTCTGGAGAATGGGAGGAGAAAATGGGGACCAACCCTTATCCTGTAGCTACCTAGAAGCTGTCAGCCACCAGTAAACTTATACTTGATATTCTCAGTATTTTAGGCTTTATATGCAAGGAAATGGGGCTGAAAACTAAATATATGTATTTTACAGTATCACAAGGGTTGAACTTTTCATATGCTTATTTTCCACTTGTATATCTTCCTGGTGAAGTATATTTTCAGATCTTTTGCTCATTTTTAAATTGGGTTGTTCATTTTCTTATTTTGAGATTAAGATGCTTTGTATATTTTGGATGCAGTTCCTTTATGAGATACATGATTCTCAAATATATCTCCCAGTCTGTGACTTGTCTTTTTTATCTTGTGAAAGTGTCCTTCAAACAGCGAAAGTTTTGAATTTTAATAAAGTTCAACTTATCTATTCCTTCTTTAATGGATTGTCCTTATGGTTGTTTTAAAAAATTCATCACCCAAGGTCACCTGAATTTTCTCCTATATTTTCTTTTAGAATATTTACAGTATTAAATACAGCATTTTACATTTAAGTAGGGGAGATGTGAGGTCTGTGTCTATATTTTTTGTTTGTTTGTTTGCTTGGTTGGTTGTTTATGATGAATGTCCAATTGCTTCAGCACTGTTTGTTAAAAAGGAAAGCACCGAGTTATTTCAACAGTAGTATTCTTTCGTCAATACCATGCTATGTTGAATACTGCCGCTTAAGGGTAAGTCTTAGAATCAATTACTGTGAGTTGTCCAACTATGTTCTAGGAAGAACTGTTTCTCTTTCTCTAGTGCTTTTTAGAATGCTTGCTTTTCAATATAAATTTTAGAATTGATTTGTCAATATCTATATTTTGCAGGTATTTTGGCTGGTATTGCATTGAGTCCATAGATCAACTTGGGAATAACTGGCACCAGGCCTCCAATCTATGAACATAAAATATCTCTTCATTTGTTTATATCTTTATTTAATCAAATATGTGTACATTTCCACATAAAGACCCCATTGTATATATTTTGGTAGAATAAACCTATTGTCTTGGTCCCTTTGTGCTGGTATTGTAAAATACCACAAACTGGGTAATTTATTGAAGAAAACCAAAAATGTTTCATCCCAAAATACATATTTTTGACATATTTTGAGACGGCTATTTAGAGGGACTGCAAACACAAAAACAGCCCTAAAAAGCTACTCTTCTGAGAGGGAGATTTGCATCTGTAGAGGAAATAAAGTGAGATAAATAGCAGATGCAAACTGGCTTTCTTTGAGGACCCTTCTTGGATCTAGGAAAGATTAACTGAGAGTCCGACACCTTTGAAAGTCTAACAGAGAAACTTATCCCACAGGCTACCCTGTATTCTTTCTGAGAGTTTCTATCTGTGAGGTTTTATCTGCACAGCAAGACCTCTGCTCTATGCCTTTCTTTCTTGCTCCCTTTCATAACTTGTCTTGCCTTGCTCCAAGCCCCTATTCTTTCTGTAACCTCAAGACAGTATAAAAACATCAACCATCTGGCCCTTTCTCTGCGTTTTCTTATTTTGTATGGCTTCCATTCATGTGTATGCACATTAATAACTGTGTATGCCTTTTACCTGTTAATCTGTTCTGTTTCTTTTGTAAACTCAAATGATCAAATATTCAGGGAAAACATTAAACTGCCCTACATGATAAATAACAGAAATTTATATCTTGCGGTTCTAGAAGCTGAGAAGTCCAAGATCAAGGCACCAGCAGGTTCAGTGTGTGGTGAGAGCTGCACTCCGCTTTAAGATGGTGCCTTAAAGGCAGTGTCCTCACATGGTGGAAAGCAGAAGGGCAAGAAGAGCCTAGCTAGTTTCCATTCAGCCTTTTTATAAGGTTGCTAATTCCATTCCTGTAGGCAGAACATCCACGGCTCAATTGCCTGCAAGGCCTCACTTCTTCAGTAATGCTGCATTGGGGTTTCAGTTTCGAAGAGGACACAAACAATAAAACCATAGCATTTCTCCTTTGGCTCCCCAAAATTTGTATCCTTCTCACATACAAAACATATTTATTCCATCCCAATAACCCCCAAAGTCTTCATTTGTTCCAGCATGAACTCAACAGTCTAAGCCCAGCATCTCATCTAAATCAGATATGGGTGAGACTAAAGGTACAATTTATACTAAGCAAATTTCTCTCCAGCTACGAATGTGTACAATCAAACAAGTTATTGTTTCCAAAATACAATGGTGGCCCAGGCATAGGATAGACATTTCTGTTCCAAAAGGGAGAAATAAGCAAAAAGAAATGGGTAACAGGCCACAAGTAAGTTCAACACACAACAAAGTAGACATTAAATCTTGAGGATTGAAAATCTTCTTTGACTTGATGTCCTGCTTTCTGAACAGAGTTGGGGCCTCAAAGCCCTGGGAAGCCCCGTGTCCATGGCTTTGCTGCATGCAACTCACACAGCAGCTAACAAGTTGGAGTCCAGTGCCTATGGCTCTCCCAGTCTGGCATTGCACACTGGTGGCTCTACCGTCCTGGGGTTTTGGGGGTTGCCTCAACCCCACAGTTCTATTCAGCATTGTCTTAGTGAAGATTCTCTCTACAGTGGCCCAACCCGTGTGGTGGTTCTTTGCCTAGACACCAAGGCTCTCCTATGCATCCTTTAAAATCGAGGGGGAGGCAACCATGCCTCCACAGCTTGGATGCTCTGTGCACCTTCAGAGTTAGCACTATGTGGATGCTGCAAGGATTAAAGATTGTACCTCTGGTGTGGTGGTCTGAGCTGCAGCTGGGTGCATTTGAGCTACAGCTGAGGTGGCCAAGGAGCACAGTGCTGAAATGTGAAGGGCAGAAACTTGGAGCCGAGCTGGGCTGCAAGCCTCGACATCCAAAGTGTGCCCTAGGCCCCTCCCCTGAAACCTCTCCTATCAAGGCCCTGGCATTCTGGGCCCATGATGGTAGTGGCAGCCTCAAATATTTCTAAAATGCCTTCAGGGTCATTCTTCCATTGTTCTGATGAATAATATCTAGCTTTCTTCTATCATAATAATCTCCCTATCAAATTGTTCACTTATCCACACCCTTGGCATTTTTCTTTTTTTTTTTTTTTTTTTTTTTTACCAGAATTAGGATTTTTATACTTTACATGGCCAGGCTGAGAATTTTCCAAATATTTTAGTTCTGCTTTCCTCTTGATTATAAATTTCATCTTTAATTTGTTTATTTCTTGGTTTTATTTCAAGTAGAAGAAAGGTTTTATTTCAAGGGGAGAAGCCATGCATCACCTTCAACACTTTTTTATATACTTCTGCAAAATATCTTAGTTTGTCACTCACAAGTTCTGCCTTCCGCAAGGCAGGAAGTAGGTCATAGACACAATGCAGCCAAGTTCTTTGTTACTTTATAACAAAGATGGCCTTTCTTCTGGTTTCCAATAAGATGTGCCTCATTTCCATCCGAAACCTCGTAAGAATGACCTTTACTGTTATTTCTACCAACATCAGATCATGACCACTTAAGTCATCTCTAAGAAGATTAAGACTCTGTCTATAGCTCTCATTTTCTTCTGAGCCCTTATCAGAATGCAGTTTTTTTGAGCATGCATCCCCAAACTCTTCCAGCCTCTACACATTACCCAGTTCTGAAGCCACTTCCACATTTTTTAGGTATTTGTTTTAGTAACGCCCCACATCTGGTACCAATTCCTGTCTTGGTCTATTTGGGCTGCTATAACAAAGTATCACAGAGTGCATAGTTTATGAACAATAGAAAAATTTATTTCTCACAGTTTTGCAGATTGGGAACTCCTGCAAAATCAGGGCACTGGAAGGTTTGTTGGATGGAGCGGTCTATACATGTCAATTATATCAAATGTATCTATAGTGCTGTTAAGGTCAACTGTATACTACTGATTTTCTTTCTGCTTGATCCATCAATTACTGAATAAGTGTTATCAATGCCTCCAACTGAAATAGTAAACACGTATTTTCCTTGTAATTCTATCAGTTTTTCTTCATGTGCCTTGATGCTCTTTTATTTGGTTCATACACATTTAAAATGTTCATCTTAAGTGATTAAACAATTTATCATTATGAAATGCTCAGTAATCTTTCTTGTTCATAAGTCTGCTTTGACTGAATAAAATATAGCTGAACTAGCTTTATTTTGACTAGTATTATGTGGTGTATCTTTCTCTATCCCTTTGTTACCCATATATCTGTGTCCCTGAATCTAAAGTGAGTTAGTTTCAGGAAATACATGTTGGATCTTGATTTTTTATCAACTCTAGTAATCTGTCTTTTAATTGGTGTATTTAGACCACTAACATTTAGAGTAATTATTATAGTTGGATTAATACATACAGTATTTGTTGTCTATTGGTCACATTTGTTTCTTTTTTCCCTTTTCTTTCTCCTTATCTGCCTTTTCTGTTGTTTTTTTTTTAATTTAGCATTTTATAAGATCTCTCTAAGCACATCAGCTATTTTGCCTTTCAAAAATTATTTGTTGCTGTAGAGTTTTGACACACATTCTAAATCTATCTTCAAATCATATATCATTTTAAATGTAGCACAGATATACTGTAATAGAGAATTCTCAATTGTTCCCTCTTGTTCCTTCTGACATTGCTGTTTGTATTAGTCTGTTCCATTGCCAAAAAGGAATACCTGAGACTGGGTAATTAACAAAGAAAAGAAGTTTAACTAGTTCATAGTTCTATGGGCTATACAAGAAGCATGGCAACAGCATCTGCCTTTGAGAGGACCTCAGGAAGCTTCCACTCATGGTAGAAAGTAAAGGGGGTGCAGGTGCTTCACATGGTGAGAAAGAGATCAAGAGAGAGGTGAGGAGGTGCCACTCACTTTTAATCAACCAAATCTTTCATGAACTCACAGAATAACAGTTCACTCATTGCCATGAAGAGGGTACCAAGTCATTCATAAGAGACCTGCCCCCATGAGCCAAACACCTTCCATCAGGCTCCACTTCCAGCAGTGGAAATAACATTTCAACATGAGAGTTGGAGGGGACAAAGATCCAAACTATATCAATGTTATTCATTTTACTTATCTGTATAATTCCCAAAACTTTGTTAATATTATTACTTTAAGAAAGCAGTTACTTTTAAGATCAATAAATATAATTGATCTTTTATTTTTTCTTACTATTCTTTCTCTCTGCTTGATCCAAGTTTGTGGCTTACATTCTTTTCTTTCTGCCTATAGAATATCTACTAAATTTTTTTGCAGGGAAGATCTGGTTGAAAATGAACACTCAATACATGAAAAAAAATTATGTCTTTTTTTACATTTGAAGAATAATTTTAATGGATGTAAATTTTTTAAAATACTCTAAATATATTTACATTAAAGTATATTTAAGTATTTTTCACCACTCTATTCTTTCTTCCATGGTTTCTAATGAGTCATCTACTGTAATTCTTATATTTGTTCATCAGTAGGTAAGGTGACCTTTTTTCCTTCTGGATTGTTTCAAGATTTCTCTTTATCTTTGGTTTTCTGCAGCTTAAATATAAAATGTGTAGCTGCAGCTTGTTTTTTCTCAGTAGTTATTCTGTTTGGATTTGTCTAGTTTCTTGAATCTGTGTTTTGGTCTCTGTCTCAGTTGTTATAATTTCAAATATTTCTTCAGTTCCTTTCAATTTATCTTCTGTCATTCTAATTACACATTTTTACACTTTTGAAATCATCACAAAGGTCTTGTATATTCTTTTCTACTTTATTTTCTTTCTTCGTTTTTCACTCTGTTATGTTAGTAATGTTTGTAGAGGGTGAACATTCTCTAATCTTCTAATTAAATCTGATTATTTTAGTGGCCTGTGTTGGGAGCAAGCCCCCCAAAATCCGGCCATAAACTGGCCCCAAGACTGGCCATAAACAAAATCTCTGCAACACTGTGACGTGTTCATAACGGCCCTAACGCCCAAGCTGGAAGCTTGTGGGTTTACGGGAATGAGGGCAAGGAACACCTGGCCCTCCCAGGGCGGAAAACCGCTTAAAGGCATTCTTAAGCCACAAACAATAGCATGATCGATTTATGCCTTAAGGACATGTTCCTCCTGCGGTTAACTAGCCCAACCTATTCATTTAATTCGGCCCATCCCTTTGTTTCCCATAAGGGATACTTTTAGTTAATTTAATATCTATAGAAACAGTGCTAATGACTGGTTTGCTGTTAATAAACATGTGGGTAAATCTCTGTTAGGGGCTGTCAGCTCTGAAGGCTGTGAGACCCCTGATTTCGCACTTCACACCTCTGTATTTCTGTATGTGTGTCTGTAATTCCTCCAGTGCCACTGGTTTAGGGTCTCCCCGACCAAGCTGTTCCCGGCCTGCTTTCCAGAGCTGTGACTTTCACAAGTGTTTTTCCAATGGTTTAACTTTTTATTTTTTTCTGCTGTCTACTTCTTTTTCCAGACACAGAGTTCCAGAATGCTGTTTTATCTTTCTTCCTTCTTAGTTGAAATAAAACTAGTATTAGATTTAGAACTGTGTTCTGTCAAAGTCTTTTCCCTTGGGAAACTTGCCTTTATTATGATCAAGTTTCTGGGAATATTGCACAATGATTACTCTTCTCTCCCTAACAGAGCCATGAGATCATCATTGGATCTTCACTGTGAGAAACCAGTGGTATTCTTGGAGGTAATATCCCCGAAAATCTTGCAGTGCCCATGCTGTGGTTCTGAGGTCTTTCTCACTCTCACACTCGACAGTTCATCAATAGTCCAGACTCGACAATTCATCAAAATTACTCTTTAAATAACAAGTTTATAGCCCCAGGGCCTCCTATTCCAAGTAAGCCATTCTTCATTGCTATCTCTCTGTATGCACCTCTCTCTACAGATTTGGGGTTCTGTAACTTCAGTTCTCTGATAGGACCCAGAAATTACTGGTTTTCAGCTTTTCCAGCTTTTACTGTTGTAAGGATGGTGTAATTATTTCCAAGCTCTTTACCTGTAATAAATAAATCCTGAAGTGTAATTAAATGCTTTTAAGTATAAAATTCTTAGCCAGTGATACCTTGTCCCTTTTTATAAAACAAAACAAAACCAAAAAAAAAATAGTTATGTAAGTATCATCTAGGAATCTTCTTAGAAAATAGACCCCTAGAGATTCTGTTTCAGGAATGTTGTGATCCAGACACCATTATTAAGAACTAACCTTGGTAAATTTTTTTTTGTACAATCAGGTTGTAGAAACTAATGGTCTAGAAAATAAAGGTAATATTTTTAGAGTTATTGTCTCAGTTCAGTAAGGTTGCTATAGCTAAATACCATAATCTGGGTGGATTATAAACAGCAGAAATTTATTTCTCAGAATTCTGGAGGTTGAGAAGTCGACAATCAAGGCACTGGCAAATTTGGAGTCTGCTGAGGGCCGCCTTCTTGGTTCATAGATGGCACCCTCTCACTGTGTACACACATGGAAGAATTGGCAAGGCAGCTCTCTGGGGCCTCTTCTATAAAGGCACTAATCCGTCCCCATAATACCATCACATTAGTCATTGAATTTTAATGTATGACTTTTGAAAAGACACAAACATTAAAATTGACAGTTATTGATTCATTATTATTTTCTACTTCTTTTCATATCTAACATAAACCGAACTTATTTTAAAGCAGTTACTATGATCTTAAGTATTCTAGTTTTATATTCCTTCAAGAATTTGGTCCCACAGAATACTATAATCAAATATCATCAATCTTCCTTAAGCCTAAGATAGAATGTTGGATCACATTTGACTGGAATCAAGGTATCCATTAAAATTCTGGAAAGACCTTCAAAAGATGTCACATGGAAGCATTGATCAGGTTCCTTAAAAACTCACAGAAGCAATCAATTTAAACTATTGGCATGAAGGGAATACCTAAAGACACATTTAAATTTCTATAGGAGAAAATGGTTAAAATTAATTCATCAGATATGAGGGGGTTGGAAAATTGGATATGTAAAAGTGAAGTTGGATATCATGCTTAATATTCTATTAACTTGAAAATTAATTCAAAGACCAGAACGGACTTGACCTCTCTATATATAATGCAAAGTTAACAGTATAAATAGAACCCAAGAGTGATGAAATAAATTCATTACTCAGAACTGGGCAGTAGCAGAGCCTCACAAATTTGGTGCAAGTTTTATTAATGATTGTAAACAAAATGCTTATGTGTGTGCATGTGTACGTCTGTGTATGTGTATTTATATGAAGAAATATATATGTTTCCATCAGCTTAAAGGGATAGAATATTATGAGAGGGAGATAAAGACAGGGAAATGAGACAATGATGAACATAACATATAAAGTTATGTCAGTGAAGACTCCTGGTTTTTATATTCTAGCAGTTTATAGAAGAGAAAAATGCAAAGAGTGCTGTGCATAATTTGACTTCTGAAGTTATTAGTTCTGCAGGAAACATCCATCTCAAAATTTTGACATGGAAAAGGGAAAATAGATCCAAGTTCCATATTACTAAAAGTACTAATATTCCAAGTTTTACTGAACAACACATGATGTCACTGGGCTATAATCTAGGAAATAGCATACTAAAGAATCTATGATAATAATAATAGTAATAATTCAAATATGCTAAGCATGTAATGGTGGTAACCTTGAGTAAAAAATTTATGGGCTCTTGCCTTATATAGAGTGCCTAAATTTAAGCAAAGTGTACTGGTGTTGACACATTGAACCCCTTCCAAGCCAGCATTTCTGAAATTAGGGAGTTAGAATACAATACAATCAAGTATCAAAAATACAAAGATAACACAGTTTAAATTTTTTATTTTAAATTTACGAAATACTTAGTAAATTTGAATTCATGACTCATCAATTCTTGAATTCCTCCTCAAAAATTAAATGTGTTTTACCGTTGAGTGAAATAGAGGAGAGGAAATAAAATTGTTTAATTATGTACAAAATGATGTATTGGGCTTTGTGTAGTTTCCTGCCTACCAATGACAATATTAACAATGAAAGTAAAACAAGATATGAATCCAAGAGCAAGTTTATGATTGTAAACTAACTGTATTCAGAAGATACTTCACTGGTCCCAAAGGGTGAATACAAGCTCATTTAAAGTCAGCTTAGCTAGCAACTTGTCTTCATGGTATATAATAAGATTTCCAGTACCCTGGATAAGAATAAGGAGCTACAAACTTAAATCATACTACATGACACTTCAAAAGGTTTTTTTATCTCACCTAATTTAAGATTCATAACTAAAGCCAGGCTATGATTTTATTCTGACATTTCATCTGCTTAGCATAAGGAAGAGTCATCATGACCTCAGAATCTGAGCCAGCCACAGTCATTCAACAATCTAATTTTATACTCAGTGGACTGGAATATTTTCCATCATTCTGGAAGTGTTCTGCTTCATCTAGGAAACACTGGTTCTTACATTTTATCTTCTAAATTAGTTAATGGAGTAGTAGTGATCATGCAGAGTAAGATTAAGTGCATTTGTTTTAAAATGTAGATATTGAAAATCTTGTTAATGAGAATAACTCTTTTTAGATATTGTGCCAGCTGTTTGGTAACAACTGTTCTCTAGTGCAATTTATACTGAGATATTTGCTTCTTGAAGTTTTTCTGATTAAGTGAATCAGAAGTACTTAGGGTACAATTTATACTTTTCTAGTTCCAGATTGATCTGCTACACAGATTGAATTAGAGTTGACTATTAAAAATTTTCATTTTCATGTTTTTTCAAGCACTTTTGTATGTAACGTTCCCTCTCTGTAACTTTGTTTTAATCTAATCCAATTACAATCAGCATGTATAAACTGGTGAAACAGGAATAACCTGTAACTTTCAAAAATAATTACTATATATTGAGGTTCTGGCTCTTCTGCAGGTAGATGACTAATCTATCTTTGAACAGAGTGATTAATCCTGATAAAATCTAGATAAAAACTGAGGCCTAATCATGATAACTAAAACACTAGCATACTTTAAATAAGGGCTTGGGGAAAGAGATGAAAATAATAAAGGCTACAGTCAATGAGATTTCTGTTGGGAAGCAGAGTGGGAGAAATACTTCATTAAATGAAAATTCTGCTAACAATTACATAGATCTGCCTTCCACAGATCCCCAGAGCAGGGTGCTATGGCTGAAGCAGAAACCCAAGAAAGGTGGGGAATATCCATCCAACCAATCATCTGCTCCTTTCCCCCTCACAACAGCCTCAGAAATAGCTCCAGATAATTCAGTGGGTTACAGAATTGAAAAACTTCACATATTTTTAATATTCTGTAAGCTGATCTGCAGTAGATTTTTCTAATATTGTTTTTAATATTATGCCTCTCAGCAGTGCTTTAAGAAATGTCTCTTAAAGAGGATGAGGTCAAAGACAGTTATGGCATTTACTAATACTATTTAAAAAGTCACATCCATAGAGTATGTGAACCATGAAATAAAATAGTATTCTATAGGTAGACATATTAATACTTTAGTATTCATAGTGGAGGTGGACTGAAGCATGCTATTTCTGAGGTTACAGGTATAAAAAGACACAAAACCTCACAGACATGCACTGAGCAAGATTAATATTTCTTCAAATGTAATTTACAGGAAACTGATCGTCCCCAAGGACATCACAAGTTGTCTGCCAGCCCAGGTTTCTCTACTGAATTAGTTTATATTATTTAATTTGTTTCTATCTTTCTTAATTCCAAAAGTGATTTGTACTTGAAATACCTACAAGAGAAATAATTGAGTACATGAGAAAATTAGAGCTAAGATCCAAAATATGCAAAATGGAATACATTCACGGAGACGCTATGACTTGAAATAATCATTGAGATTTTCTACTACTAGTAGAATTGACATAAAAATTACAATGAGTTTGCAAATGTCTAACATGCAGACAGAAAAATAATTATGTTAATCCTATTGTTCCTGAGACAGAACCTACTTTCTCAGAGTTTGTAGTCCAATCTGTGAGACAAACACATACATACCCAATTTCAATCTACTATCCAAATATTATGATAAATTATTCAAAATATGCTACCTGGAGTAGAACAAGATAGGAGGCAATGACCTACATTGGGATGCTGTTGTAGTAATCCAAACAACTAAGGCTGTTTTAGTGGGAATAGAAAGATATTAAAGAAGTTGAATTTATAAAATATAGTGATAGATTGTACTTGGAACATGATGAACGAGAAGGAAGCAAAGAAAAATAATACCACATTTTTGGTTGCTTACACCATTCTCCAAGATTAAGAAACAGGAATAGGGGCCAGCCACGGTGGCTCATGCCTGTAATCCCAGCACTTTGGGAGGCCCAGGTGGGTGGATCATCTGAGGTCAGGAGTTCAAGATCAGCCTGGCCAACATGGTGAAACCCCCTCTCTACTAAAAATACAAAAATTAGATGGGTGTGGTGGCGGGCACCTGTAATCCCAGCTACTCAGGAGGCTGAGGCAGGAGAATCACATGAACCCGGGAGGTGGAGGTTGCAGTGAGCCAAGATTGCACCACTGCACCACAGCCTGGGTGACAGAGTGAGACTCCGTCTCAAAAAAAAAAAAAAAAAAAAGACTGTGTTTCAAGGAAGTGAGTTACACTTTAAACAAATAATTGAGTTAGAAGCAGCTTAGAAAAAATATAGCTATTTCTGGAACTAAGATCAGCGTGAACTTCTCTCTGTGTGTTAACAGAAGACAATGAAACACAGTGAACAATATCTTCAACAACATCTTTTTACATGGTCAAAAAATAATATTTAAGTATAGTTAAGTGAAAGGAAGTTTAAAGGAAGTATGTCATCCAAGTAGACATCTTGGAGGGTTGTGCTCTGGATAACTTTCTTCTCAAATTATTTGAGTTATTATGATGGAAACTTCTTCCTTTTGGGGATTTCTGGGAAAAATATTTCTGGCTCTCCTTTGACTATGCAAGGAAGGATTTTTCTGATCAGTGGAATGACAAGGATCTCACAGCTATTGATACTCTTTCCTCTGTTATTAAAGTTAGAGGTGCTGAAGGTGACTGTCTCAGTATAGTTTTCTCTTTTTCACTTCAAGGCTAAGCTTACAGAAACATAGCAGTCTTCAACGATTCTAGGTACCATAAAATAAACACATCTGTGTCCAGGCCAGGGTCTGCCTTTTAGAAGCAAGTTTGAATTAAAGCCTACTTTATCAGCACTTTGAGGACAAAATGAATATAAAACAGTGCTTTTTCTTGGGCTGCTTGAGAAAATGTCCAAACTGCAGACCAAATCTCTGTGCATCGATCTCAGATGTGGATTTTCTAAAAAGTAGCACAAATGTTTATTTTTGCTGCAAACACAATATTTTAAAATCTAGTTTTCCCAGAAAGAAAAACTAGTATTTTGAAATCAATCGACAATTTGTGTCTATACTTCAAGCCTTAAAGAGTCTGTAGTAGCAAGGATACAGTTTTACCCCCAACTCACACACAGTCTTTTATTGGGATAAACTTTGGAATATATAGAAGAATAGATGAAATACATGACACTCAAGAAGGTCTAGACTTGCATTTTGGTGAGTTTCTCAATTATTGTGGTATTTAGATATTCCCGGAAAAATAGTCGAAATGCATGTTTCCCAATTCTAATCACAGAAACCAAAATCAAACGGATCTAGGGTGGAATCCAGTAATGTGTATCTTTTACAAAAACAACAAAATATGTTGATCCAGATATTCATGTATCTTCTTTAAGAGACACTATTATCAGTATGGAAGCAAAATAGAAAATATTCCAATCAACTGTTTGTTAAATATTATGCATCTTGAAGTCTAAAATTGTACTCCCCAATAGCTATGCCAAAAATAACCAATACCCCAGCCACCGTGGATTTAAACAATGTTAATACCTGATCCCAAACTGATTGTTGCTTCTATTATGGATTGAAATAATAAAATAAGGGTAAAAGGAAATATTAATATTATTTTCTTAGTAATTTAAATATAGAAAACATAAAGAGTAGTTACCAATATATTCAAAAGCCAAAAAGTCATAATATTGATAAACGCTAGAGAGGCATAATGTACTATCTTTCAATTAAGTTTTGAAAAAAAAAATGAGAAAATATAAATACTGCTATAAAACTGGAAAGAAAAGATATTAGAGCAGAGAATAAACCAGTTGGTACAGGTGGTAATAGGATGGAAAAATAGCCATGGAGCAATGAAGTCATTTTTACATATTCAGGGATGCCAAAGCTACAACAAAAACCCAGCCTATAGTTTTGCTCTTCCTAAATCCTTGTTTTGGCGTGTATGTGTGTGTGTGTGTGTGTGTGTGTGTGTGTGTGTGTTCTGATGCCTGTTAATCATTGTAGTAAATTTCCCCTTACTGTGGATACAAAGTATTATGTTTACCCTTTTTCATAATGTTAAAACAGAATAGGTTCCTCTGCTAGGCATCATTTCATAGGTTTCTAATCTGAAGGTCATGGACTTTGTTATATTTATTATATTTTATTTCTAGTTTTCTATAATGTTATATCATATTAAAAAGAAATAATCTTTTAAAAATATTTAGTTATAATTAATGTATTACTCCTATTGAATAAAACACATGATTGTAGTACATCAGCTTTAATGAATCACTGCTCCACAACTCCTACTTTCCATGCTTTCTCTAATGTCTACTGTCTGACTTACTGTGAAGCCAGCCCACAGTGAAGTGCAGTCAATGCAATTTGCAGAATCCAAACAACAGAATAAGAGCAGAGTATAAAAGGTTTAATTTGGTGCTGAAAAGTAATAGTTAAATAATCTTCACTGAGAAAATTAATTTTTTATATACTTATGTTATATACAGTACTTATGTGCTTATTATTAAAGTGACTAATTTCTGTTTATGTTTTCATCTTAAGAATTTTAGAATCACTGTGACAATGGATAATGTATAAATTATCAATGAAATTATGATTCTTGCTAAGAGAATTACCTTCCTGTATGCAGAATGAGACTCTCAAACATAAGATATTTGATAACACTTCAACGTGTAACTTCTTGACTGCTTCATCCTTCCCCTGCTCCAATATAGGCATTTAAAGCTATAAATGTCTCTATATCCTCTTCTTTTTCTGTATCTGATAAGTTTTGATAAGTTGTATTATTTTTACTCAGTTCAAAGTATATTATAATTTTATTGTGAGTTTTGTTTGACCCATGGGTTGTTTTGAAGTGTGTGCTTAATTTCCAAGCATTTGGGGATTAAAAAAATATATTTTAGTGTTGCTTTACAGTTTAATTCCACTTTGATCAGAAAAATCTCAATTATTATTTCAATACTTTAAAATTTGTTTACACTTGCTTAAGTGGTTAGCATATAGTTAATTTTGAGAAGTGTCCCTTTTTTACTCACGAATGATATGCATTCTGCCATTCTTGGCATAGCATTCTATAAATGTCAAATAGGAAAAGTTGGTTAATTGTGTTATTTAAATATGATATATCCTTTATGGTTTTGTGTCAGCTTTGTTTAACTGTTGCTAAGATTTCTGTTCAAATTTCAAATATGATTTTAAATTTTTCTATTTTCCTTCTTATGTCGTTAAATTTTGACTTTTTGCATTTTGAAGCAATGTTAGTAGCTACATATAAATTTAATATGTGTATGCCTCCATGTTTATTTATATTTTTAACTTATTTTATTTATTTTTATGTGTATAAATTTATGGGGTACAAGTGCAATTGTGTTACATACATAGATTTCATACCAGTCAAGTCAGAGCCTTATGGTTTATAAGGACAGTTTTATCTACTTAAAAATGTCTTTTCTGGGAGGCCAAGGTGGGTGGATCACGAGGTCAGGAGTTTGAGACCTGCCTGGCCAATATGGTGAAGCCCGATCTTTACTAAAAATAAAAAAATTAGCTGGGCGTAGTGTTGCATGCCTGTAATTCCAGCTGCTCAGGAGGCTGAGGCAGGAGAATCGCTTGAACCCGGGAAGTGGAGGTTGCAGTGAGCTGAGATCACGCCACTGCACTCCAACCTGGGCAACAGAGCAAGACTCCATTTCAAAAAAACCAAAAACCAACCAACCAAACAAACAAACTAAATGTCTTTTCTTGCCTTTAATAATATTTCCTACATTAAATCTTGGAGTTTTAATATTACCATAGTTACCTCAGACTTCTTTTGGTTAGTATTTTTATATTTTCATGACATAAGATTTTTTTTAATTGCCTTCTTTCAATCTATCTACTTTCTCATCTAAAGTATGACTTTTGTAAAGAGAAAATGACTGGCCTTTCATTATCTTATCCTTTCTGATGACCTTTGTCATTTAACCGTTTATTTCTCTTATGTTTACTTTAATCACCTATATATAGATTTAAATCTACCATTTTTCTATTTATTTTCAAATTGTTCCATGTATTATTTATTTCTTTATTCTTCTTTTCTACTATTCCCTTGAATAATGAAATATCATTTACTATTTTGTTTGACCTCCTTTGTTCATGTATTATTTATACCTTTCTATATTATTCTTTTAGTGCTTAGTTTTTAATGCAGACATGAAAATATGCAGCTCTAGCTGCTTATAGCCTGCCTTAAATAAATACTTTTACCACTTAAACAACATGAGGACCTTACAAAAGTTTATATCCACTTACCTCCTTTCTCAACTTCATGCTATTGTTAGCATAAATTTTAATACTTCACTTGTTTTCAAACTCACACATCATAGTTAATTATTTTTTGGTTTCAAATATAAAAACGGTGTTTTTTTTTTTAACTCTCCTCAGGTATTTTTCATTATGCCACACTCTTCATTCCTTTCTGCATCATCAAGCTTCCATTTGGGATCATTTTTCTTCTGCACAGATGCACCTACAAATAACTCATCAAAGCAGTGTCTCAAGTGGCTAGTCATTTCCAAGAGGATTAGGAAGACCCCAGCCATAAGTTACCTGCAGGTCTTTTCCCTCCAGCCCTCTGGCCACCTCCTTCCTCCACAAATGATAGGCCAAGTATAACCATTAGTAACCTGCAGCACCTTCTAAACAAACTATGTGAACAGACACAGAAGAATGTCTAACAGAAAATGTCAAATACAAAAAAGAAGGCACATCAAAAATTCAACAAGAATATGAATAAAGCCAGTAACATAAAAAACTTAGAGCAACAAACCAAAGTAATTACAATTGCATGAAATATAAAGGTCTAACATGAACGAAGACTTAAATCCAGTCCTCCATATTATAATCCTAAAGTTTCAATTTGGAGTTTTTATGCTAACTCTATGTCATAACTTCCCTGCACTGCTTTTCATTATATTCTTCATTATATGGTTGCTTCTAACTTCCTGAGCAAAGGCAGAAAGTTTGCATGCATTTACTTTGCCTCTCCAGGGGCTTACATAAATTTTGTTTTTAAGAATAAGTGCTCCGAATTTTAAAATCTGATATAAAAGTAACCTGTGGAATTCAAGTTTAAATTAAGTATAAACAATATAATCATCAAGATTAAAGTTCATAAAAAATCCATAAAAGAAAAAATACATAGACATAGGTAAAATTTTTGTAATGGTTGTTGAAATATTGTATAAAATGGTAGTTATGTTGGATTTATTTTCTTAAAAGAATAGAGCTAAATAGCATATTACTTTTCTAGAAAATGCAGCCACGAAGTCTTTCCAGAATGCATCACAAAGGGATTAATTGTGAAAAATGTGGTTAAGAAAGATAAGGGAAATAGAAAATGAAGGCAGATTTTCCCAGTCCTTCTAATGGAAAAGGAAGGAGAAAAGAAAGTGGGGGATAGGTTGTCTTTAAAGAAAGACAAGAGAGGCTGCACACGGTGGCTCATGCCTGTAATCCCAGCACTTTGGGAGGCCGAGGTGGGTGGATCACCTGAGGTCAGGAGTTCGAGACCAGCCTGGCCAACATGGCAAAACCTTGTCTCTACTAAAAACACAAAAGATTAGCTGAGTGGAGTGGCGGGCACCTGTAATCCCAGCAACTTGAGAGGTTGAGGCAGAAGAACCGCTTGAACCTGGGAGGCAGAGGTTGCGGTGAGCCGAGATTGAGCCATTGCACTCCAGCCTGCGCAACAAGAGCAAAACTCCATCTCAAAAAAGAAAAAGAAAAGAGAATACTCCAAAGCCAAGGAAAGATGTGCATATACAAATTGAAAGAGCCTCTAAGTGGTAAGCAGGAAAAAATAAAATAATTATTTAAAAATAAATATGTGTAGTAAAATTAGAGGATCAACAAACAAAAATAACAAATCTTTCAGACAAAAAAAAAAGATTTAGAATAAACCACAATCAAACTTATTTCAGATTTCTCATCAACAATAGAATACAGGAAACAATGAACATTTTCAAAGGAGAAAAAACAGATTCTGTAGCTAAGCAAGGACGAGGCTGAAGCACAACTAATTCAAACATGAAACTTCTCAGAGTATATCATCTAAAAGTTTAATGAAAAAATTCCTAGAGTATACACTTCAGTGAGAAGAAAATTTAATTCAAGAGAGAGAATAAGGTTGCAGGGAAAAAAATGAATGAATAAATCTGTAAAGCTAAATGTTAAGTATAGATATGTATAAATGGGAAAATATAACAAATCTAGAAATAAGTTGCCAGACAAAATCAGTGGGGGAAGTAAAGACTGGTGGTAAGAAAGTGACAGACTCTCTTTTTGACCAATTTGACAGAAGATAGCTAAGGGAATCAGAAGTATGATTAGATGTTTGTTTCTCTCAGATATATAGATGCTGATTAATTTTACACATATTTGGAAAACGAGTTTAAATATGAGCAATAAATATTGAATGCTAAGAGACTTCTGATTCCTGAAGGCTATCGGGGACAGGAAAAGGTCTCCCCTACTACAGCACAAATAGTCTTGAATTACCACCAGGAACATACTTTTAAAAGCATTACTTGCCTCATAGAAGAAAATCACCAAAAAGAGGAAAACAAACAAACAAACATAAACTAAAACAAGATCTGTTTAATAAATGCCATTAATTTTTTTACCTGGGGCAAAAGTCAACAGGGGTCCTAAGTTCTGGAAACTAAGACTTTAGTCCACACCAAGGTGTGAGCATATGAGAGTGGAAATTTTGAAGAGGCTACAGTGGTTCTAGATAAGCAGTAAATTTGGCTCCTGGCAAAAGCAAACATAAAAGAAGTCATCTCATCTAAACTCAAAACTAAAAATATGGGCTGGGCGTGGTGGCTCATGCCTATAATCCCAGCATTTTGGGAGGCCGAGGCAGGCAGATCACTTGAGGTCAAGATTTCAAGACCAGCCAGGCCAATATGGTGAAACTCAAAATTTTTGTAAAATACAAATACAAAAAAAAATTTTGTAAAAATACAAAAATTAGCTAGATGTGGTGGTGGGAACCTGTAGTCCCAGCTGCACTGGAGGTTGAGACAGAATTGCTGAAGCATGGGAGGTGGAGGTTGCAGTGAGCTGAGATGGCACCACTGCACTCCAGCCTGAGTGACACAGCAAGACTCTGTCTCAAAAAAAAAAAAAAAAAACTAAACTAAAAATATTTATTTTCAACTCAAAACTTACTTAGTCAGCCAAAAATGAAAAAAAAATAAAAAATAAAAATAAAAAATCTCCGCAGCCACTGCAATGACATTTGACAGGAGGGAAAGTCTGAAAAAGTGGAAGCTGGCCTAGAAAGAGATCGTGACTAAGGATCACATAGTTTCTACTTGAATGGGTGACAGAAAGACTGATCAGGAAAACATTGCTGGAACTCTTGTTTACAGAAAAGATATTTTTTTCTGCAGAGGCCCAGCCAAGCTAGGGGCCCTAAAGAGTAAGTTTCTCTCACTCCATGCCCTGTCCTCATTCCTGCTCTCCACATCTACCTTCCATCCATATACTCTTGAAGTAGCCCTAAGAGAAGCAGTGTAGCAACGGCACTGAAAGGATACCAGGCACATTAACCATTCATTTGTCAAAATATGTAAGAAAATACCACAGTGTAGATGACCCCTGTTTTAATTTATTGTCTATGACTTATAACCACTTTGACTTCTGAAACAAAGTAGCAAGACCAGGCCAGAAAGAAGGAAGAAACTAACTCAAATAGAGATGCATCACAAATGCATCTAAAAAAGGATGGCAGCCTACTGACTATAAGGCCTAATAGCCAGCCTATGTAGTTATTTTTCACAGTCTAAAATGGCAAAACTTGAGGAAGTTTCTTTTTTTTGTTTTTTGTTTTCTTTTTTGAGACGGAGTCCCACTCTGTTGCCCAGGCTGAAGTGCAATGGCACAATCTCGGCTCACTGCAACCTCCACCTCCTGCGTTCAAGTGATTCTCCTGCCTCAGCCTCCAGAGTAGCTGGGACTACAGACAAGCACCACCATGGCCAGGTAATTTTTGTATTTTTAGGAGAGACGGGGTTTCACCATGTTGGTCAGGCTGGTTTCAAACTCCTGACCTCAGGTGATCCGCCCACCTCGGCCTCCCAAAGTGCTGGGATTACAGGTGTAAGCCACTGCACCTGGCAATTTGAGGAAGTTTCTACAATTTGAATGACCCAAGTTCAGATAAGAACATAATAGAATAGAATAATACCTACCTAGACTAGGAAAAAAGAAAATACTTAGGATCTAACGTTCATCTATGTACTGATTTTCTTAGACAAGAAATTTAACCTGTTTTTGCTTTTTCTTTTTATCAAAGAAAAAAATGAAAATCTTAATGAAGAAAACACTAGGAAATCAAATTGGTAGAAAAGTGAAAAAAAATCTCTAATACAAATACACAGAAAACTACCCCAGTATTAAAAATCTCATGAACACACACATACATACATATGCTGCTTGTTTAATAATGATGGTGAAAAAGATTGCAGAGGAAAGGAAGTATATTACAAACTGAAACAATACTACAGCTTATCTAATGAAATAAATTATAAATAGCAAAGAAGATTAGTCATTGCTGAAATCTGTACTGTTACTTTAAACACTGAGGTAAAGGACAAAGAGATTAAAGTGATAAGAATGAGATAATAGGTACAAAGAGACTGATGATCCAACAGAAGCTTCCTAAAATGGAGAATGCATCAACTGAACCTGAAAAATGTATTCAGAGAAATGATACAGCAAAATTTCCTGTAATGAAAACTGGCATCAGTAGATTAAAATATGCCAATTATAGCAAAATGAGTTAAAAGATAAAATCAACTTTGAGTTACATGCTGACTGTTAAAAAGGTCAAATATTTTTAAAGTATACTTCATCTAGATAGAAAAAGAAAGTCACCTGAAAAGAGAAAATCGGGCTGGACTAAGACATTCACAAAATCAGAAACTGTTCAGTAAAATGTTAAAAGTATTGAGGCAATATCATTACCAAGAAAATTATATTCAACCTAATTTTCACTCAAATATAAAAAAAGAAAGATGTTTTCAAATATGAAAAAACTCAAAGACACCTTCATGAGCCTTTTTTTTTAAAATCAAAAACTACTTATTTAAACTTTGCTAACCAAAAGAGAGTCAAAACATATAATTGAGAAGTGGAGAAGCCATTTAGAAGGGCTGGTGGTATTTACTGAAGTCATATAAATATGACATTAAGATTTGAAACCAGGAGAATTATAGTTGCAGACTACAGTAAGTGTAGTTGCAGAAATGTAAGTGTTACAAGGTAACCAGATAAAAATATTTCCTAAATATTTAGGGAGGAACAAATTGGATTGAGGTTTATAGTGCCACAACTTTATCTTTCACAGATGGTAGTTAATTAATAATAAATTAATTATTATAAAATAGACACAGAATGGAATTGATATAAAATAGAAATATTAAGGTTGGTACAAAAGTAATTGTGGTTTAATGGCAAAAACCACAATTACTTTTGCACCAATTTAATAATAATAGTTACTATAAGATAGAAATTGAATTTCAAATAAACAAATGACTTTAACATTTCCAATACCCACTGAAACTCTGACTATGTTGTCTGTGCTCACTTTCTGTATTTCGCTGTTGAACCTGATACAGTCAGTTCTTCACTGCTTCTACTCCATGGAAACTGGTCTTTTTAATATGACCAATGAATGCTATGTTGTCACAGCCAATGGTCGTTTCTCAGCCCACATCTGCACATTTCCTTTATCTGTCCCATTTGTCATTTTGATTATTCCATTCTCCTGGCAAGACCTACTTTCCTTGTTTAGGACTTCATAAAATGTATCCCAATTTTCCTTTGATACCATGGCTTGCACCCTTTTAATATTTCAATTAATTGTTCTCAGGCTAGCAGCTGTAAATATTGTAGTGCTCTTACATTTATGTTCTGGATTTCTCTGTCTGTAATGACTTCTTTGGTGATCACATGTAATTTCTTCAATACATGAAATGAATTGATAGCACTTATATGCTGTCAATTCCTAAACTTTACATCTAGCCTCTCCCTGAACTCTAGCTCAAATATCTAACAACTTCTTTGACATCTAAATTTTAATGTCTGATGAACACCCCAAATTTATATCTAAAGTGGAACTCTTGATACCCAGCCCCATCCCCACCATTTAATGACCTGCTAAGCATCCCTTCTTCCCAATATTGGTAAATAGTAACATTATTTTCCTTCTTGGCTCCTTTCTGTCGCATCTCATCTGCAATTACTCAGCTAATCCTATTGGCTTCACCTTCAAAATTTGTCCATTTTCACTGTAGTTTGGTACAAATGTATCATTTCAATAGAGTACATACTGGCCTCCCTGCTTTTGTGTTTGTTCCTACAATCTACTCTTGGCAGAGCATCTAGAATAAGACTATTAAAAATTAATTCAGATTATTCACTCTTTTGTTAAAAACTCACTAAGATATCCCTGCCTGTCTCATAAAAAGGGATAAATAATAACATTAATAATAACAATAATGGTTTTCAGTGCTTTCTACAATCTGATCTCTATTACATGTTTAGATTATATGCAATAATAATCTTTGATCACCTAGGCTGAAAAGTTTATTGAAGGCAAGATTTTGAAGGACCAGTAAGACATCATAATAAAATATACGATAATGAGTAATACAAGAAAGTCTTGGTGGATTGTTTCTAAACAGGTCAAAAATTTTAGAGAATGAACTATAAACTTGAATTTCAAAAATTCCCAGCACAAAATCTAACCAGGATATGAGAAATTTATCTTACTACAGTAAAGTTATCAATTATAGCCATAATATTTAATCTATAATTACCAAACTATACCAATAGCTGAATTCAAAGCCTTGACTAGACTCATGTTTGGAAAAAGGGGGGCCTGTTCATTTAACGGAAGACATAATAGAGGAATCAAGACCTTCCTTGGAAAGATAAAAATATCTCCTATTTTTTGAGGCTTTTGATATCTTCCTTGAAGTTCTTGTGATAATGTCACTAAGGCACTTTATTGGCAAAGGAAAGCAAATTTTTTCATTACTTATTTCAAAACACCCTCAAGTCTTGTAAGGTTAGAGTCTAGGATGTCTCAAAGGAACAAAATAAATTTAAACCCAGTCTGGGCATGGTGGCTCATGCCTGTAATCCCAATGCTTTGAGAGTTCAAGTCGGGAGGATCACTTGAGCCCAGGAGTTTGAGACCAGCCTGGGCAATACAGGAAGACCCCATTTCCACAAAAAAATAAAAATAAATTAGCCAGGCATGGTAGTGCATGACTGTGGTCCCAAGCTACTCAGGAGGCTGAGTAGGGAGAATCACTTGAGCCTGGGAAGTAGAGGCTGCAGTGAGCCATGACTGTGCCATTGCACTTCAGCCTGGGAGACAGAGCAAGGCTCTGTCTCATAAATAAATAAATAACAGATTTAAACCCACAAAAGTACAAACTCAAATCTCAAAATTTTGAGAATTTATACTGGGAACAACCTGAGGAATATGTGGGGATAGATTCTAAGATGACAGAGCAGAAGGCTAAGTTCAACAATTTGGACACACTTATCAGGGATTCAGAATTCAAAAAGCTGTGTGATATAATATAATTTTGGAGTTTGTTAGTTGGATAATAATATACTCAAGCAGTTGCCTGAACTAAAAGAAGTGGAATTCTGCAAATTTCTTGGTATGTCAGGTATACTTTCTGAGGATGTCCAAACCAATATATTCCATCTCACATGTCCTCTTATAATATGATTTTGACACTCTTCCACCAAGAGGTGTAGGGCTATGGTCTCTCTCCTTGAAATTCAGACGGGCCTGTGACTATGTCAGAAGTAACAGCTCACAAACTATTCCTCACAGGATATTCACCCTTGGAATCAAGACACCATACTGTGAGTATGCCAAGCAGCCACATGGAAAGGCCAATAGAGCTGTTCCAAGCACAGCCTCAGCTAGGTCCCAGGAGATGACCAGCATCAAGCACCAGACAAGTGAGTAAGCAAAATGTCAGATAATTCCAGATCACTGTAGCTGACACTGAGTATAGCAGAGCCCTGTACATTTTTGCCTCTTCATGAACAAAATATAAATTGTCATTGTTTTAAGATACTTAGTTTTGGTATGGCTTATTTCTCAGCAGTGGATTATCAGAACCTTTGGTATAACGTGCCATTCGTTGGTCTATTTGAGCTTAGATCTATTTCTCACCTATTTCCTGCTCTGTACTGCATTGCAGTGGGTATGAGTCCTACAAGCTTTATTTCCAGGCTCTGCAAGTTGGCTTGCCATTTAGCTCAGTTAACAAGAGGAACTAGAGGCAATTTGGAAGGTGGGAGGGACAAGCCAGAATATTTAGTTTACACATTCTCTGTTTTTCACACAGAGTACTTCAATGACTGTCATCTTGTCCACATCCCCAGCTTTCACAAGACAGGTCTGCTGTGATTTCAGCTTCTTCTAGTTGACTCTATGATGCTTGGCTTCTAGCAAATCTGCTTCCTTCCTTTGTCCATCCATGCTGATGGATGGTAACAGCAATAGCAAGAAGCTGGATTTTTCTCATCATTCGTTACAGTATGTGGATTCTCAGATATTCCACCACCTATTTAACAAATTCCATGTATTACATTATTTATGTTTTAAATACTGTAATAAGCCTATCTTTTGTTTCCTTGGTTGGACCCTACCTGAGTACAAATTTAGCTAAAGGAACCCAGATACATAGAGGACAAGGACATTTGGAGTTCATCCATCATGTGTGAACTTCTTATCCATCTCCTAACCAAGGTGGGAGGGAGCATCATTGATCAACTGAATTTTGGCTAGATTGCTGCTCATACATGACTCAGCTGGCCCTTAGTATTTTGATTATTTCTCCAATTCTTTAGTGTGTATTTGGAATAAATTCATTCAACATCTCTGAATATCTGGAGCTAGGTTTGTATGAGAAGGCAAGTAGAAGTCTTGGCTCTCCCACCACTGCTCAAAATAGTAAATCTAAAAGAACATTTCATCCTAGTGGAAAATTCCAGGGTGATGCTGTCACATTCCCCTTTAGATTGACTGTTTGGCTCATACTAAAGAGAGCTGCTAATGTAAATGTGGCCTTTTAACTTGAGTAAATTATATAACTGCTGGACCCTGTTATGCATCTACTGATCTAGCAAATTATTTGTATTCCAATAAAGAGAATACTAGAAACAGTTGGCTTTTACCAAGTAGTGACAGCAATAAGCCATCTCCTTCTTATCTATAATTTACATAAATGCCTCTGCTCTTTACCATGTAGTCATCCAAAATCCAAAGAGTTCTTAATCACATTAGCATAGCCACTGAACATCAAAATTACACACTATTTCGATGATGTAATGCTAATATGTTCTCAAAAGTAAGACACAGAAGATATTCAAATGTCTTAGTATGGCACGTGGGTGTCAGTTATGGGACATAAATCTCATGAAATCGAAACTGTGGCCTAAAGAGTTAAACCAATGACTACATTCTTGGATTTATAGAATAGCATATAAGAAAAGAAGCAAGGTCCTAAAAAGCTAATATTGAAACTGTATCTCAAAGAGTAAGAACCTGGTAACTAACAAACATTCTTGAGTTTACAGGATAGCACATAAGAAAAGAAACAACTTGCTGCAATGCCGAAATGCCCTCTGCTTGTGAGATGAAAAACAACTGGCTGAAATTGGTAGGAACTAAGATGGCTGACTGGAGTTTGTGCAGAAGGAGCTTACTGACGTCACAGTCTGAATTTCCACCACGTGTTTCACGCTAACTCCCCCTGAATTTGCACATGCAACCCATGAGTTACCATGAACTGCACATGTCCAAGGACTTTCCAGACCTCCCCTTTCCTTCTACCAATCACCTACTAATCTCAGAATCCATCCCCTGAACCATTTCTAATAAAAAGACTGCATTGAAGCCAGCATGGGGAGACAGATTTGAGCTTGATTTACATCTCCTTGAGAGTCGACTTTGAATATAAAGCTTCTTCTTCTTTTTTTTTTTTCAAAAACCTGGTGTCATTATATTGGCTTCTAGCACATCAGGCAGTAAGCCCCTTTTGCTCCATAATAAAATGATAGGTTTCTGTCATTTCAGTGGATTTTCTAGGAGATCCAGGGCTGTGGGCTATATTACCTATTAATAGATCCACATTGCAAGAAATGTATGCCTCATACACAAATCATCAGATTCTTTCCTGAATGATTCTTTCAGTAATCACACAGACAAAATAGCCCAATTTATGTCAATTTGCCAATTTTTTTTCAGACACACTGGTGTTAATAAGTTTTTGAACAAATAGCCATGGTAACAGAGTTAATCATTTGTACTTTTACTTTAACATAGAATCCTCAACAAGGTTTAATTAGGAACCTCTACTACTAAGCATCCAGTGCTTTCACATTAGCAACCACCTCTGTGGTTCAAATGTAGTACCATACCCAGAGCAACCAGCAAGCCAACTGGTGACACAAAGATTATACAGGTGCCTCTCATCTTCAGAGGCAACAATTTCTTATCAACAGAATAAGTTTTTACTCTGAATTTAGATTCTCCTCCTCTGTTTACTCTTCTTGTCAACTGAATTATCTATGGGATTCTTACTATCTTACGTTCTAGTATAGGGCTCCATAGAACATTACTCTGACCAAAATACTCCTTGTTTAAAAAAAAATAAGGCAATTGGCTGAAGATTTTTTGGTCTTTTGCCATGTCTACCACCATCCAGAAGTAACTAACATTATGGAATGGAGAAATATTGCTTTACAGGAAATAACACCTTGTGATATTAGAGCACTGTCCTACAATATACACTACACATTAGGAGTGCCAATAAATACATGGTGCTGCTTCTCTTAAATCAAAATTCATGGATCAGTATAACCAAGTATGGAAGTAGGAGTTACATCTCTCCTATTTAACTGTAGTGATTTTACACGGATTGTTGCCTTATGTTCTCATGATTCTGAGTCATGTTGGTTTACAGGTATTACTTTATACAGGAGCAATATTTCCACCATTGAACAAAGAGTTTTCAAGGAATTAAAGGTTAGAAATACCACAGGCTATTGTCAGAACTGAAAGGCATTGTAAAAATAAGCAGAAGTGTTGGTAGGTGGTTCAGATAACGTGACTTTATGATTAATACTGATTGTTGAAGTGAAATTATTTGTCATTACACTTCAGCGAAAGGAAGAAATTTTTCCAAAAACTGGCAAATGAGGCAAATAGGCTCCTCCTATTCTGCCTTGTCCTGCAGTAAAGTTAAAGGAGGACTAGAGCAGTACATACAGGCACAACTGCAGTCTTTACATTCTTCAAGAATAATTTGTTTTGGTTTTGTCATATTTTATCATTGTTATTATTGAATTATACCTTATATGTAGTGAAATTATAGATTGTCTGTACACAGTTCAAAGAGTTTTGACAAATGTATACACTTGTGTGACTAGCACCCAAATTAAGATATATCATATTTCCTTCACTCCAGAGAATTTCTTCATAGACTTTTCTGCCAAACTTTCCCACCCTAACTGAGACCACTGGTCATATTTCTATCACCTTTGGTTTGTTTTTCCTGCTCTTGAACTTCGTATACTTGAAAATCATAGGGTATACATACACTCTTTTCTGTCTGACTTCTTTTACTCAACTTTTTTTGAGATTTACTCATGTTGTTACATGGATCAATAATTTATTAATCCTTTTCATTTTGTTGAGTAGTATTCAATTGTATGTGTAGATTGCAAATTGTACATCCATTCTCCTGTTAAGATCATTTGGGTTATTTCTAGTTTTAGGTAACTGTGAATAAAGCTACCATAAACATTAGAATACAGCTCTTTTTGGAGGCCGATGCCTTCATTTCTCCTGAGGGATTACTGAAGAGTGGCAATGCTGTACCACAGGAAGGATGAAAGTTTAGTTTTTAGGAAACTGCCAAAAAGAGAATCCCAGCTGTTCCACGCTTGCCCCCATTTCCTGTTGTCATTTGTTTTGATCTTAGCAGTTCTTTTTGGTGTAAAGTAGTACTTCATCATAGTTTTAACTTAAATTTCCCAGATGCCTAATAATATTGAGCCCCATTTCACAGGCTTAAGTCCATTCACGTATAAATTTTGTGAAGTATTTTTTTCAAGCATTCTGCTCATTTTTAAAGTAGTTGTTTGCCTCTTTAACGTAGAGTTATTTAGATTCAATACCCCTTTAATCAGAACTCAGCAATCATTTTTCGTAGAAATGGACAAGCAGTTTATAAAATGTACATGAAAATTCAACAGACACAGAATAGCTGAAACAGTCTTGAAAAAGAGGAACAAACTTGGAGGATTTATATTATCTGATCTCAAGAATTACTATAAAACCAAGACTGTGGTAATAGCGTAGGTATAAACAAATAGATCAGTGACAAAAAAAGAATGACTAGAAAAAGATCCACGCATACGCGGTCAATTAATTTTTGACAAGATTCAAAGCAATGTGATGGGAAAGTCTTTTCAGCAGATGGTGCTGAAATAGTCAGATAACTATATGGGAAATAAATGAACCTCAAGTACTACCTCATAGTATAACAAAAAGTAATTTGAAGATCATCATAGACCTAAATGAAAAAATAGAAAATATTTTTTTAGCAGAATATGTAAAGATTATTTTTGCAATCTTGCAGTATGCAAAGATATCTCAGATATTACAAAAAAATATAAAAATGATAAATACAACTTCATCAAAATTAAAATTGTGTGCTCATCAAAATAAACCATTAAGAAAATAAATGAGCAAACTGCAGATTAAGAGAAAATATCCCCAAGGCATAGGTCTGACAAATAACTTGTATGCAAAACATATTTAAAGACTCCTAAAAGCTTAAGAAAAAAGTAAAAGTGTTGGGCCATTTTCACAGGTAAAGATTTCTGTGTTGATTTACAACTAGGTATAGATTGAATTTAGATAATTGTAACAGATTTCATCCATAGCCTTACTTTACCTTTGCAATATGACTTTATAATTCCTCCCATTGAGAGCCTCTGGCAGGTACAACTTTCTTTGACCAGTGGAATATGGCATAATCAATGATATGCCATTTCCAAGCTGACATACAAGGCAAGCTTGCATGCTTCTTCATTCTGCCTGGTTGTCATGCAAACAAGCCCAGGTGCCCTGCTTGGGATTGAAAGATCACATGGAGAAAAGACAGTCTTACCCAGCTGAGTGCATCCTGTACCAGCCTAGCTTTGGCCAACAAGCACCTGACTGCAAATGCCTGCATGAGCTTAGGCAAGAACAAAAAATATCACCCATCAGAGTGAGCACAACTTGTCTACTCATAGATTTGTAAGCTAAATATATCATTGTTGTTTTAAAATATCTCTTTTTATAAAGCTTTTTTTGTTAAAAGTATATTCATAGTTTCTGTTTTTCTTTTTAAAATATTTGCTAGAATTCACCAGTGAAGCCATCTGGCTTTGAGCTTTTCTTTGTGGGAGCAGTTACTGTTTTGTTGTGTTTTTCCCTCCTGTATTCCCAGCAGCTAAAGTTGAGTTTAGCAATTAAAATGCTCTTGGGTCAGTTAGGGCCAAGCAGGAGAGGGATGACACACTCAATGCAGGATAATTCAAGGAATGCTTAGTGAAGGACAAACATACCAGGTGGGATCAGGAGAGGGAAATCACAAGGGGTATTTTTGCACCCTGGGGCTAACAACACTGAGGCTCTTAGCCAAAGAATTAAGAGGAGTAAGGTGATTACTGGAACCTGGAAGAAAAGAGGAGCTGCGTATTTCTTGGGATACATCTAGCTCAAGGAAACCAAACAGAAGAGGAGCCTTAATTTTAGTTTCCTTTCTTCCTCTGCTCTTTTGTCAGGGCTCTGAGGTTGAACTCAATTGGAAGCCAGAGATTAAAGGTGCCCATTCATGTGGTTAAGTAGGTGATCCTCCTAGGACAGAGAAAAGGATACAGAAGCATATGTCTGGGAACGCAAAAAGATGTTATACTTATTGTAGCACTCAATTAGATATATATTCTCGAGAATAAAATCAACTGACCATGTATGTGTAGGTCTATTCCTAGTGGTTCTTTTCTTGGCTTTGATCTATTTATTTATACCTACACTATTACTACAGTCTTGATGTTATATATTCCTGAGATATATATTCTCTCTCTCTCTCTCTCTCTCTCTATATATATATATATATATATTCAAGAATATATATCTTCTTGAGTGTTACACCACATATGTGGTTGAATAAATTAATGAATAAATGAATGCTTTATATATAATGTTATAGTCACTCTGAAGGCAATTTGGAAGGATATACCGACATTTAAAGTATTTGAATCCATACCTCAGAATCTACAATAAAGAAACACTAGTATAAAGGCACCAGAAGATACCTTCTAGAAAGATAACTAAAGGGATAACTTTGGTTACTACTTGGGATTAGGGTAAGCTTTAATGAGAAATCTTAACTTTTATTATTTATTTATTTATTTATTTATTTATTTATTTATTTATTTTGAGACAGAGGCTCACTCTGTCACCCAGGCTGGAGTGCAGTGGCACAGTCTTGGCTCACTGCAACCTCTGCCTCCTGGGTTCAAGCAATTCTCCTGCCTTAGCCTCCCAAGTAGCTGGGACTACAGGCAAGTGCCACCATGCCTGGCTAATTTGTTTTTTATTTTTAGTAGAGACAAGGTTTCACCATGTTGGCCAGGACAGTCTCCATCTCTTGACCTCGTGATCTGCCCACCTCTACCTCCCAAAGTGCTGGGATTACAGGCATGAGCCACTGTACCTGGCCTAACTATAATTTTTAAAAACATAAAAGGAGATTTTGTACATATAAATGGTTGGATAATTAAAAGATAATTTACATTTCAGAAAACAAATATAGCAATCATACTAGAGCCAAGATAAAATAGATAAAATAGAGTCAAGAGCCAAGATACAATAATTCCTGCAATTAATCATTCCATCACATGTCCCTTATCTTCATGGCAGGCAAAGGAAAATGAACAATATAAAAGACTACAAAATGTAGTCTAATGGAAAGAAACAAACCAGCTAAGATAAATCCTTTATTTCTACTAAGCTCCTCCCAATATTAAACACTTTGCTTTTGTATTTTTAACAAACTTTTATATAAGTGATGGAAGTAATATTCACTGTATTATCTTATTAGAAGTTAAACAAATTGCAAAAGCATCCTTCTCTATAAACACTTTCTTATATCAAGTAGTTAAAAATGATTGGCATTAGTGTTTGAAAAGTCAGAGAATCAGTCATATATAGTGCATTCAAGTGGTATAATCTGATTAAAGAATAAAGATGCCAAATTTTTGTTAATTTTCTAAAATATATTACATGAAAGTATATTCATAATGATAATTATATAAACTTCACCTTTTTAATCAAATATCTTTATCAAGGACAGTTGTACTCGTCTGCCTCCATTCAGTCTACTACAACAAAGTACCGTAGACTCGGTAGCTTCTAAATAACGGAAGTTTATTTCTCACAGTTCTGGAGGCTGAGAAGCATAAGATCCAAATGCCAGCAGATTTGGTGTCCAGGGAGGGCCTGCCTTCTCATAGATAGTAACTTCTCCCTAGGTCCTCACATGGTGGAAGCAGCAAGGCAGCTCTTTGGGGCATCATTTATAATGGCATGAATTTCATTCATGAGACCTCCACCTTCATCAACTATTCACCCCTTACAGTCCCCACCTGTTAATACCATCAAATTAATGATTAGGTTTTCAACACATGAAAGTGTGGAGTGACAAAAATATCAGCAGTAGTTCATAGAAATAATTCAATAATAAACTGATACCAAGTCATAATAGATGTTCTGCTGCTGTTTTCCAATTATTTATCTTCAATGGCTAGGTAAAGAAAAGTAATTAAGAAAATAACACATGGGCTACAAAAACAAGATTTATAACAAAAATGAGACTACATGATTTTTTTAAATGTATGCAACTTCTTCTCACTTGATCAGTTCACATTAAATTCTCTTTACTAGAATGCGTTTCTAATATTTATAGAAAAGAACATATTTTATATTTAGAAAATTATATAGGAGCCTATAGTTTACTAATCAATGGTTATAGTTTACTCCTTTAATTGTAAAACAAAACCATAAAGCTGTAAATGACAAATTTTTCTTCCCATGAATAGCTGATTGCCTAAAGAAGAACATCCTATCACTTCATGACTTTGAGTGATGGGTTCACATGTTTTATTTTAAATATTCTAAAGAGTCCTTTTGCTGCTGAAATTTCTTCCCAAGCATACAGAAGTGTTTCCCTTTCTTTTTTTTTACTGAACACACCTAAGATGCTACTGAAGTAGTAATATTATTATATTTTATACATATATTGGAACATCACCATAGCCAAACAATTTCAGCATAGTATGCAAAGGGAGTTGTGTTTTGATGATTTTCAGGGATTTTATTACTGAAAGTATCATATGAAAATGTTGTACCTACGACATGACTAGGGCATGATGTTTTCTAAAAGGTTATATTTAATCTGCTCATTAATACGCAAAATTGTAAATGAAGTCTGCTAAACATAAGTAGCAAAATACAAAAAAAATTGAGGGTCTCCCTTTCAAAAAAAATAGAGACTGAATATTTAAACCATAACACCTATATTTCATGTAAACAATGAAAGTTGTATCCACAGTTATTTGATTATATATTTTGGTAAATCGAATATCCTAGCTGATAGTTTCTTTATTTTACACGTATATTAGGCCCTTCTTGCATTACTATAAAGAAATATCTGAGACTGGGTAATGTATATAGAAAAGAGGTTTAATTGGCTCATGGTTCTGCAGGATTTATAGGAAACTTGGTGTTGGCATTTGCTCAGCCTCTAGGGATGCCTCAGAAAGCTTACAATCATGGAAGAGGATGAAGGGGGAGCAAACAAGTCACACGGCAAAAGCAGGAACAAGCAAGAGAGAAAATGTGGTGGCGGGGGATTGCCACACACTTTTAAATTACCAGATCTCATAAGAACTCACTCACTATTGTGAAGACAGCACCAAGCCATGAGGGATCTGCTCCTATGATACAAACGCCACAGATATGGTTTGGATTTGTGTCCCAGCCCAAATATGCTGAATTGTAATTCCCAATGTTGGATGAGGGACCTGGTCGGAGGTGATAGGATCATGGGGGCAGATTTCCCCCTCATTATTCTCATGATAGCGAGTGAGTTCTCACAAGGTCTGGTTGTTTAGAAATGTGTAACACCTCCTCCCTCACTCTTTTCTTCCTGCTCTGGCCATGTAAGACTCGCCTCCTTCCTCTTCACCTTCTGTCATGATTGTAAGTTTCCTGAGGTCTCCCCAGCCATGATTCCTGTACAGCCTGTGGAACTGTGAGCTAATTAAAACTCTTTTCTTTACAAATTAGCCAGTTTCAGATATTTCTTTAGAGCAGTGTGAGAGTAGACTAATACAGAAAATTAGTACTGGGAAGTAAGGCATTCCTATAAAGATACGTGAAAATGTGGAAGCAGCTTTGGAACTGGGTAATGGACAGAGACTGGAACAATTTGGAGGACTCAGAAGAAGACAGGAAGATGAGGGAAATTTTGGAACTTCATAAAGAGTTGTTGAATGGTTGTGACCAAAATGCTGATAGTGACATGGACAATAAAGTACAGACTGAGGAGGCCTCAGATAGAGATGAGGAACTTATTGGGAACTGGAGCAAAGGTCACTTTTGTTATTCATTAGCAAAAAGGTTGGAGGCATTGTGCCTCTGCCCTAGAGATCTGTGGAGCTTTGAACTTGAGAGAGAGATGATTTATGGTATCTAGTGGGATAAATTTCTAAAGAGCAAAGCATTCAAGATATAGCTCTGGCTGCTGCTAATGGCATATGTTCATATGTGTGAGCAAAGAGATGCCCAAGGCCTTAGAGTCTGCCCCTTGCCTCAGTGTGGCCTGGATGTGAGACATGGAGTCAAAAGAGATTATTTCGGAGCTTTAATATTTAATGACTTCTATGCTGGGTTTCCGATTTGCATGAGACCTGAAGCCACTTTGTGAGATCTGGTTTCTTCCTTTTGGAATGAGTGTATTTACCCAATGCTGGTACCCTGATTGTATCTTGGAAGTAACTAACTTGTTTTTGATTTTACAGACTCTTAGGTAGAAAGGACTTGTCTCAGATGAGATTTTGGACTGTTGACTTCTGAGTTAAGGCTGAAATGAGTTAAGAATGGGGGACTATTGACAAGGGATTATTGTATTTTGCAATGTGAGAAGAACAAGAGATTTGGGAGGGGCCAGGGTTAGAATGATATGGTTTGGATTTGTGTTCACACCCAAATCTCATGTTGAATTGCAATTCCCAATGTTGAACGAGGGGCCTGGTGGGAGGTGATTGGATCATGGGGGTGGATTTCTCCTTGCTGTTCTCATGATAGTGAGTGAGTTTTCATGAGGTCTGGTTGTTTAAAAGTTTGTAGCACCTCCCTCTTTACTCTTTTCCTACTGCCTTGGGCATGTAATATGCCCCTCCTTCCTCTTTGACTTCCACCATGATTGTTAGTTTCCTGAGGCCTCCCCAGCCATGCTTCCTGTACTGCCTGCAGAACCATAAGCCAATTAAACCTCTTTTCTTTATAAATTACCCAGTCTCTGGTAGTTCTTTATAGCAATGTGAGAATGGACTAATAAAACATCCCACCAGGCCCTACCTCCTCCAGCATTTGGGATTACAATTCAGCATGAGTTTTGGGCAGGGACAAATATCCAAACTATACCAATATGTATACAAACATTTGCAAAAATGATCAGAGTTTAATAAAATGAATTTAATATTTTCTAAATTGTCATGTATTATAGACCACCGTCACCACAGTAGAGGACTTAAAAGATATATTTATACCCCTTGCCTCTCTATACTCCCTTTACATTGCCCCAGGTGGCAATGAAAACATCTAATACATAGATGCTAATATAAAATATATAGATGCTAATATATCTTAGCAGACATTTGACAGAGTTCAAGGAATAAAATCAATTTTATAGAAATTTTTTAAACATAGTAATATTGAAGAAAGTTTTCTACTCTGAAGTCATTATTTAAAAAGTCATATAGAGATATTTTTAAAAGTACAGATCTATTGGATAATTTAGCATTTTCTGTTCTTGGGATTTCTGAAAATATGATAAAGGGACCAAAATTTTCTTGCTAAGTATTATTCTACGTTACCAGGAATTAAGAGAAAAGAGTATGGTCAACTCCAGGTGTTAAATTAAACTACATAGCATCTTTATAAAAAGCCAAGTTGCGTCTGGTTTAACTGTGAGAATGAGGATCTAGACAGATAATCCTCATCAGTGCAGGCATGATGGGGGCTGAATAGATTAACAGAGGTATTTTGGTCTGGTCATGTTCAAAAAAAAAGAAAGAAAGAAAGAAAGAAAGTGGATGAGGTAGCAACTGGCCCAAGTCAGAGGAAATATAGCCCAGTGGGACATTAAGGATATCAGTAAGCAATAGTAAGTCATCCATCAGTAAATCACTTGCAGTTTCCTTAAAAATCCCCTTTCAGATCATAACAATTCTTCAGTCCAGACAAATAAAAAATGAATATTAACTACATTATTGATATTTGAGTCATCCCTGAAGGATGAGGTCAATGTATCAGTAATGGGGAGATATATCCAAATCCTGACAACTTCTTCTTAGGCCAATGCTTAGGAGAACAAGCCTTTTATGCATGGCATTTATTATCCTACTCTGAAGACAAAGAATTTATTTACAAATTATTTCCCTCGTAGAAAATATGAATAGAAAAGAAAATCAGTCCAAATGACTTTATAATGTTGCATTATCTTCCCTAGCTTGAGAAAAGAATCACTTGTCTCTGGGTATGTTTCTTAGAGTCTCTCTTCCTTTAACAATACAGATATAAAGAGGGAGGAGATGACATCTACCAGCGATTTCTTGGGTTTGAATCAGTCAGCTCATCTGAATTTACCTGAGATAATTAGCAACTGGATTTTACAAAAAATCAGTGGATCACTAACTGGCTCAAGGTCAAAAGGGAAGGAAGGAATTTTAACACATCTATCTGATTGCAAAGCTCTTTATATAGTCTAACAAACACTAATTTCTACTAAAAGAAATTATCTATTTAGTACTGACTTTTAAATAAAAACATATTAAAATTATGAATGTTTAAGCCTCAAATAAAGTTGTATAAATGTGATCTTATTTGGAAATGGAGTGGTTGAAGATATCCTTAGTTAAGACCAGGCCATATTGGCTCATGGTTGGCCCTGTATTATGGCTGCTGTCCTTATAAAAAGGCCTGTGACAGTCAGGTGCAGTGGCTTACACAAATAATCCCAGCACCTTGGGAGGCCAAGATAGGAGGGTCACTTGAGACCAGGAGTTTGAGACCAGCTTGGGCAGCATAGTGAGACCCTATCTCTACAAAAATTTTAAAAACTATCCAGACATGGTGGCGTGCACCTGTAGTCCCAGCTACTCAGAAGGTATAGGTGGGAGGATTGCTTGAGTCCAGGAGGTTGAGGCTGCAGTGACCCATGACTCTGCCACTGCTCTCTAGCCTGGGTGACAAAATGAGACCCTGTCTCAAAAACAGACAAACAAACAAAAACCAGAAAAAAACAAAGACCTGTGAAGACAGACACACACAGAGGGAAGAAGGATATGTGAAAACAAAGGCTGAAATTGGAATGATACAGCTATAAGCCAAGGAAGCCAAGGAATGCCAGGGACTGCCAGCAACCACCAGAAGCTAAAAAGAGGAAAGGAAGGATTCTTCTTCAGAATAAATTATAGTAGCACCCAGAGTAATGAGAGAATACATTTCTCTTGATTTAAGCCACCAAGTTTGTGGTACTTTGTAGAAAACTTTCTTCCGATATATCCCTAAGAAACTAATGCAAAGGTCAATGAACAAGGAAGGAATTATTTGCTTCCACAGTGCTACTGAAAATAAATGTGCTTTAATAATTTAGAAGAATCTTTAAAATATTGCATTTCCTCAAAATTGTTAAAATCATGACTTCCAGTCACAATGTTCTTTTCTATTGGTTTATGGGTTTATTGTCTATTGCCTCACTTCCTTGGGGCCTCCTATATAGCCAACTCAAAGTATTCAATTCAGCATACTCTCAGTGCTCAAATATGTGTAAAACAAAATATTTTTTAAAGGAGACATATAGAAAAACTGACTAGCAAAAAGTCTTAATAAAATTTTTGACAAAATATTCAAAGAAAATGTAGGAACTATGTCACTGTCTTTTCCTCTTATGTATACACAAAACTTATAAATGTGATGAGATGTCTAAACAACTATACTCCATAATTTTTACTCACAGCTGCTACCCCTTGACAGAACACTGGCCAAAGTAGCAAAATAAGAATAGAATTTACAATTTGATAAAAATAACTGTGAGAGTATCCCATCTCAGTAAAAGAGAAGTTATTAGCAAAAATATTTGGACACAATAGGAGTCATGTCTCCATCAACTCCAAAATCTCAATGACAATAAAAATTGGAAAATCAAAGCTATTTAAAAGAAGTCAATGGCATTTTTGCATATTAATAACTGAAGTTTAAATAATTTTATAAAACCAGAATTCTTTGCAATGATGATATTACTTTTATCCAAAGATCTACCTGAAAAAAATGTGAACTGATTTGTAACTGTCTTAGTAGGAGAAAATTAACAAATTTTCAAAATAAAGAAAAAAAGAGTTCTAGACAGGACCAAGGTAGAAAAGATCCCCAATATCTTTAGTGAACGAGGATTGGTAATTAATCCCACAACCACACATATATACATACATACACTTTTTGTTTTTTATGTTTATGTTGAAGTCATCTGTTTAGATGGGTGTCTTTTACAACACATTCTTTCTGTAGGCAGTAAAACTGTTTTTTTTTCACTAGGCCAGAGGAAATAAAACTCATAACTCCAACACAGAAAAAAATTTTATATATATATAAAATTCACCTATTATATTTATGCAGCGTCCATCAGCTTTGCACCCATAATTTATCACTGTAATCAAGCTTGAATGAAAGGATTGTGACACAATTGGATGTATGACCTGAGAGCCTAAATTATCTTTTGTTAAGGCCACTTGTTCCCACAGCTTATTTGAATCCTGTGAGCTGAGTCCTAGGAGCTATGAGCATGGTTGAGATCATGTCTCACAGGTGCTTAGAGTATCCTTGATGTTAACAGTACAGGACAAGCAAGAACTGTTCTTGTACACAGTGCAGATCTCCACAGGGACAGCTCATTTTCTTTTGTTTTCTAACTTGCCATAAAACACATTTTTCCTACAATTCAATGTTTAAACAAACAATATTATGTTGTCAGCAGTTGAACATTGATATAAACCTACTTATAAATTCATCCAGCTTGATTAGATCCACTCAAGAGCCCCAGTGTTTTTGACAATTTAAATAGGAATTACTGAGTGAGTAAATTTTTTCATCTGTTTTGACATATCACATTATACAAGTATTTCCTCAAAGAAGATAAAACATTGCATTTAGACATTCCCAGTAAAATAAATCCTTGTGTAGAAAGTGTATTAAACTCGCAACCAAAATCGTAATTAACAGCAATGTATATAAATAGAACACTGAACCAGAAAAATCTCAGATTCTACTCCCTACACCACTTAAAAAATGTGACTAGGCAAGTTATTTAACATCTCCTAGATACAAACTCCTACCTGAAAAAATGTAGATAAGAAGATATGTCTTATGAAACTCTGTGGGCTAATAATTGTGTTATTAGAAGAATAAAATGTATAAGAAAGCAATATAAACTAACCAGATCCTCAAAATATGTAGATTATTTCAAAAATTATTTTTATTTATATTTATTTTATTATTTTTTTTTGAGATGGAATCTCACTCTGTTGCCAGGCTGGAGTGCAGTGGCGCAATCTCGGCTCACTGCAACCTCTGCCTCACAGGTTCAAGCAATTCTTCAGCCTCAGCCTGCCAAGTAGCTGGGACTACAGGTGCACGCCACCACACCCAGCTAATTTTTGTATTTTTTTCTTTTCTTTTTTTTTAGTAGAGACGGTGTTTCATTATGTTGGCCAGGATGGTCTCGATCTCTTGACCTCATGATCCACCCACCTTGGCCTCCCAAAGTGCTGGGATTACAGGCGTGAGCCACCGTGCCCAGCTTATTTTTAGTTTTTAAAAATAAAGTACATATTTTAAAACATTACTTAATGTTAAAAGACAAATGTCAAAAATAGTAATGTCCTTTCCCCAAATTCCCTACCACCAGTCTTACTTCCTGGAGTAAACACTTTCTGATACAATTTTCAGAGCATTTGTTTATATCCTGTTATGAGTGATTTAGCACTTTTGAATCTTCTACTCTACCCTATAGTCCAAACCTCTTAACCTACTCATCTTAGCAATATTGAAATTGTTGGATGATTACGTTATCATTTATGTAATATATTAGGATTAGGTTTCTATTGTAAAAGTTTCTCTGAAATTGTTACTCATTTGGGTTATCTATGTCTCCTTGGGTATTTTTTAAATATGCTCCAGCATGTCTGTCAAGGCACAATCATCGTTCTAAATGCCCAGGCATATCAGGTACCTTTTTCCCCATTGGATGCCACTTTCATAGCCCCTGATCTTTCTATTCTAACTTTGACTGTACAGCTGTTAATACTGCGAATTAACTTCACGACTCACCTTTGGGAATCTCTTGTTTCACGGATGCCATTCCTTTTTTTAAGTTTCTTCCTCGGCACAGTCCCCAGTATTTCCCCAAAAAAAAGGAGTTACAAGAGACATACTGTTTTGTGATTCCTTGCATGTTTAAAAATGTCATATTGCATTTTCTCACTGAGTGAATTTGGCCAAGTATAGATATCTCTCTATTCACCTTTGGGGAATGGTCTCCCTCCTCAGAGGCCATCAAGAAAAGTGGGCTACAGAGCAACACAGTCCTAATTCAACTGATGAATACACGCAAAGGCATGAACCTCAAAGCCACTCAGCATAAAACCTATCCTTGCAGGGATACAGATAAGTAGCACAGAAAGAGCAATGTGACCCTGCTAACTCTGGGAAACATAAGCACACCAGCCTCCACGTCAGTGAGAGGGAGAAGAGGTTTACACTTCTCAAAAGTGTCCAAATGCACAGGCTGAAATTTATGTATACAAATATGCTTTTTATTTCAGCTTTGACCTCACTTAATTTTCCATCCAATATCTCACTCAGGGCATTCCACAAGATCTGTTTACTTCTCCCTCCAAATCAGCCTGCTTTCTATATAAATGTCATTAAATATGCTGAGTTAGCTGGATTTTAGGCTATAGTTTTCCTGCCTCAGTAGTCATTTCTTATTGCATTATATATCTCTTTATAATCTTTACAAAAACAGAAGATCCCTTCCATAATGCCTTTTAGTCAACGGTAGGCATTAAATGGAATCCATCTGTTCTTTTTCTACTCTGTTCTTTGGGTTCAATTTTTTATGCAAACTATGTTTTTTTTCTCCATATTGATAGTGTACTTCTAAAATACTATTTTAAGTTGAATTTGTTTATTATATTTTATTGTCAATTTTACTTATCAGTTTACTTTTCAAGGTTGAAAATTAAATGCCTTCAGGGATTTGAAGTCGTTACTCTACTGTCTTCTAAGACCCCGTATTGTTGTTAAGTCTGAGAGCGTTCTGATGCCGTTAGAATGTTTTCTCACTGTTATCAGGGTAGTCTTCATCACAGAGTAGGCAGATTGTAAACTAAACTTTCTCTGAGTGTATCCAGAAACTTCAGGGCAAAGGGGTGCAATATGCTATTCAGAAACAGGAATATCTTTGCAAGAAGGTCTGGAGTCTCAATTACTTCCCACATTTTTGCAGTCTCAAAGTTAAAATTTTATAAGCGTATTAGGAAATAAAATTTATAAACCAAACACACAAAAACAAAGGTGGTTACAAAAAAATCTGTTTAGTAAAGGATCCATAATATACTAGAAATTAAGTAAAAATATGTAATTACTTAGCACATATCAATGTATTATTTATCTTTAATACATAAAATATCAAAAATTCCATTTAAATGGCAATAAATATGGTATCAATTTCTGCTTATTAGCCTGTTTTCCTGTTTCATTGTAATTGGCTCTGCCTATTTTTGTTTCATAAATCTACCTGAAAGATATCTATGAACCTAAGACTAAGTAACTGAGGAAAGGGGAAACTTATCAAATAGAAACTACACATAAATATACAATAAGAAGAAACTGCCAAATTAAAAAGAAGACAGAAATACATGTCCAAAATATTGTCTATATTGGCCATCTGCACAATCTTAACTCACAAGTTAATTTTCACCATTTAACTTCATTTTTACACATCTTTTTACTGAGTAATAGTGAGAGTAAGAGAAATTTCCAAGTTCCTGTCCTTTCTGATCCATTGATTTGTTCTATGACCTTCTGTCTTGACACTGTTAGACCTCAAGTTCACAATCTATAAAACCATTCCTGTTAGATTTACTTTGGACCCAGTACTCTAGTCTCTGGAATACTTTAGGAGGATAAAAAGGGATGACACATCCATCCCACATCTTTATAATAGGCAGTTCAAAATAATTCAGGTTTTCTATGTCACCCTATAATCTGGATGTTTTTTCATGCATTATACTTTTAATTACTTTTAATTTTATATAAGTTTAAAAGTTTGCATTATTGATGATTTTTAGAAATTATCTTCAATAAAAATGAAATAATTTAAAGTACAGCTGGAAAACTACAGAAAATATCATAGGATACATGACGATAAAATTATATTTGTACAATAAACATTTTTAATTTTTTGTCCTTGCAGGGAGGCAAAATGTTCTCTTCTAATGGCACTGAAGAAACAGATAATATCTAGAATTCTCACCGCAAAATATAATCTTCACAGACCCCTTATATAGGTTTAATATGCTATTCTCCTCTTTGTAGATATGAGCATTTTCAGTTCTCTGATGTATGTGTTACTAAGTAGAGAAAGTGAAAAGAAAGGTTAACCATAATGAAGACTGAGATTTTGCTCAAAAATACCCATCAAAGAAAACATTTTATGTAAATTTGGTGAAAAATATGTCCAACTATACTCATGTGCTCTCATCTCAACTTCATTAATCTTTATGCCTTTAGAAGGCCTTTGCAAGCATCATAATAAAGATTCCTAGAATCATCTCCAAACCTTCTTTGTTCTTTATTTGTGCTTCTTAAGTACTAAATACTATCACATCAATATCGTAATATCATGAGATTTTTAAAATTATTGGATTCCTAAATTTAGAATTATTAGTAATGAGATCAGTCCAATTGATTATTTAAAACAGCCATTTTAGATCATCATAATGAAAAAGTTGCTTTATTTTTATTAAAACTGGCAACCTCACCTTCATTTTAATTATCAATATTTATTTTATTGAATTTAAATATATATATAACTGTGCAGAAATATTATTAAATTAAGAAGGCAAAGTATAAACACACATGCCCCCAGTTTAACAACCACTTTAAGGGTCCTTGTGAGAAAGTCTTCCTCACTAGCCATAGAAGTAGGATTAAGACAGGCTGAACTCATATTTTCTTACCCCACTGCTAAGTATCTGAAAGTCTATTCTCCTTCCCTAGAAGGTAACTGATCATACCTCACATTTCTTCTTCAAACATTTATGGGCCATTTATTAAACCCAGGAAATTTCAGCAGAGGGACTCAAAAGTCAAAAGGTGTTTTATTAATGTTAAATATATTATGTGTGGTTTAGAAAGTATAAACTGCATTTCAAAAAATAGATACTGGCTAGAATATTAAATCTATATTAATTTTACAATTAATATATAATGTATAGAATATATTTATATGCAGTACATTTGTACTAATACAACTGAATTAATATAACATAAGACTTTGGAATGCAATTGAATCCAATAATTGAAATACAACTCATACAATAGTATATATCATTAATACAATATATTTAGAGGAAAGAATTTGAAGAACAAAACTTTCCATTGGTAACTACCTTAGTTTTATGTCTAGGTTTAAAGACCTAAAATTATTTTCCTAAAATATTACTCTGAAAGTATCTAATTATAATTTTGTAACCTAAGCAATAAAATACAAGTATAAAATCATATTTTATTTAAAGATGACTCAAAATTGTTTGACTTCTAAATATGCAGGCACAGTACCTCCAGAATCAATATGTGTTGTTTGTTTAAAAGGGTATGAAAAGAAGCAACTCTTTTTTTTCTTTAAACTGTAGATGCATTAGATTGTTTGGTATTTCTCCAAATGTCTTACTTTTTTCCCCCTTAAGGATATTCTGCAAAGGTCATCTCTTATTTTAAATGAGAGTTAAAATATTTAGGTACAACTATTACATTATATTTTATATTATTTTGCTTTACTTGTATGAGAAAATAGCTGTGAACAATGTAAAACATCATGATTTATTGGTCCAAGGGTCATAGATTTGGATTAAATGGTCGGGAACATCTATCAGTTAAGTTAGGTGACTCACAGATCAATTATTGATTTATCTTTATATACAGTATTTTGATGTTTGAAGAATAAGAGCGAAAAGGAAATTGTTCTTGGTAAATGAAATTCCAATTTCAATTGTATAATTCAGGGCTAAACTATCACTTTCCCTTATTTTACTAAGCAATTAAAGTAAGATACTTATTTTAAATGTGTTTGATGTCTGCCCTTTTGTCCTACATAAAATAACATCCTCAATGCTGCCTACATGGTTTTATCATCTTAATTGTTAAAAGCCCCAGGAAAGATTCTACCCATCTATCACATCTATATTGTACTTCTTCCATTCTGCCCTTTAAAGTACCCTCACCACATTTTGGACACTTCTGGTGGAGGCAGCAGTACAGTGCCTTTCTAGGAACCTCTGTATGAAAAATTTGGTTTGCTGTTTGGGTTCTAATATTCTTGTGTATTGTCCCCCTGGTGTATCTCAAACAGTGTAAGAAAAAAGATATTGTACAGGACATATGCATACTGCTACTGTACAACATTAAAGTAACAGAAGGCCAGGCAGGCTCCAGTTTTATATGACGTCTGGCTAGCAATCAGTATGACGTCTGGCCAACAATCAGGTTTTTGGTAGTGACAGAAGTCTTCATTAGTTCCAGATTGCAATTCTTATGTTAATTGTATGAGATGTCAATCCTGCTGAAAATTTGGCAATAGTTTCAAATTTTATCTTTAATTCTGAGTGTTTTGACTTTTACTAAATATTCATAAAAGCCTTAGAGAGAAAATGGTGTTTTAGAAGCAAAATCTTGCTATGGTCAACTAGCTATTAAAAGGGAAATATAATTCTCTTTCCTTATTGTCTGCCACAAACACCAAGATTCAAGTTTATATCAATATAAAATTGGGTAATGATATTTTATCTGGACTAGTATTGAAATATACAGTTACATGTTGGCAAGTAGATAAAAATATCCTTTCCTTTGAAAATGTATACACATACATGTCCACACATAATATTCTATTTTATTTGCACAACATCTGAAATCCACATTGGAGATAGTAAAAAACAGAAGTTTTACTTGAATCCGTAGACATTTTAATCAATGACATGAAGAAAAATTTCTGGATTTCTCCATCATAAAGAAGATAAACAAGATTAAATAAAATAAAATGATGCACGAGAGGATAGATATGACAAAAATCTTTTAAGTAAATAATTACAGATATTTCTTAGGAGCTTGATGATTAAAACATAAACAAAAGCAAATTATAATCAATAAATTTTTCTAAAAATATTAAAAGAGGAAAATATAAAGGGAAAAATAAAATCTGTGAAAGTGGTTTGAAGAAACTTACTGTGCTTAGGAAGAAGAATAATATGAATATGATGGAAGAAAATGAATATGAATAGATACCAGCAAACACTTTGAACTACAAAGATTTTTTTTTTTTTTAAATGCTCAGGACTTATTGGCAAGGAAAAGAATCGGGTTATTTACAAAGGGAAAAATTCATGACAGCCTCCGATGTCTATAAGAAAGTAAACATAAAACAGTATTACAGATATAAAACACTAATTTTAATCACATCATATAACATTTAATGTTAAATTGAGCATTTAATATTATTGGATAACAATTTAATTATATGTAAAATTTAATATTAAACATATTGACTTGGTTAGAAAATATATACAAAAGATGCCATTAATATATATGTAACAGAAATTTATAATAAATGGATGGGAAGATATATTTAAGCAAATGCAAATAGAAAATATATACAGTAATTTTAAATTTGCAGTTAAAGCAAAATATTTAAGCAATTTTGAAGATGAGCTCTTTTGAATGCATAAATCATGGTTATATAAAACCAAAGAAACTACTCAGCATTTGATAAATAAAACACAAAAACATACATATATACCCAAAAATAATGTATAAATAAAATAAGCATTTTCAAATATATGTATTACTCCAAAAACAAGAACTTATTTTTATATATCCTAAGAATAAATTATATCCCAAATCCTAAAACCTAATATTTTATACATCACAGATTAGCCAAATTAATTTCTTAATGAGTTTTCTTTCTTTTTTTTTTGAGATGGAGTCTCACTCTGTCGCCCAGGCTGGAGTGCAATGGCATGATCTCGGCTTACTGCAACCTCTGCCTCCTGGGTTCAAGAGATTCTCCTGCACCATCCTCCCTAGTAGCTGGGATTACAAGTATGTTCCACCACGCCCAATTAATTTTTTGAATTTTTTAGTAGAGACAGGGTTTCATCATATTGGCCAGGCTAGTCTGAACTCCATACCTCAGGTGATCCGCCCGCCTCGGCATCCCAAAGTGCTGGGATTGCAGGTGTGAGCCACCACACCCAGCCTCTTAACAAATTTTCTAAAAATAAAACAAGCTGCTGCACTCTTGCCTGCCACCCTCCCCGACCACTGCACCAGTGCACACTTGCCTGTGGACACCCTACCACACTTGGTGGTGCACACTTGTCCATGGCACCCTGCAGCAAGGATTCCTTCATGATCCCCTTACCTCCCCGCCAGAGTGTTGTTGCCAGCAGAGGAGAATACCTTGACCCCTCCAGCACAGCAGGGGGCAAGAGAACAAAGGCTGGCCTGGTCCCAGCCTTCCTGGGGACTAGAGACGGGGAGAATGAAAACAAGCTGGAAAACATACTTCAGGATATTATCCAGAAGAACTTCCCCAGCCAGGAAATACAGAGAACACCATTAAGATATTCCATGAGAAGATCAGCCCCAAGACACATAATTATCAGATTCTCCAAGATCGAAATGAAGGAAAAACTGTTAAGGGCAGCCAGAGAGAAAGGCTGGGTCACCTACAAAGGGAAGCCCATCAGACTAATAGCGGACATCTCAGCAAAAATTCTACAAGCCAGAAGAGATGGGGGGGCAATATTAAACATTCCTAAAGGAAAGAATTTTCAACCCGGAATTTCATATCTAGCCAAACTAAGCTTCATAAGTGAAGGAAAAATAAAATCCTTTACAGACAAGCAAATTCTGAGGGATTTTGTTACCACCAGGCCTGCCCTGCAATAGCTCCTGAAAGAAGCACTAAATATGGAAAGGAAAAGCCAGGACCAGCCACTGCAAAAACACACCAGAATATAAAGACCAATGACACTAAGAAGAAACTGCATCAACCAGAGTGCAAAATAACCAAATAGCATCATGATGACAGGATCAAATTCACACATAACAATACTAATCTTAAATATAAATGGGCTAAATGCCCCAATTAAAAGACACAGACTAGCAAATTGGATAAGGAGTCAAGACCCATTGGTGTGCTATATTCAGGAGATCCATCATACATACAAAGACACATTGGCTCAAAATAAAGGGATGGAGGAAAATTTACCAAACAAATGGGGGTGCAATCCTAGTCTCTGACAAACAGACTTTAAAACAACAAAGATCAAAAAAGACAAAGAAGGGCGTTACAAAATGGTAAAGAGAACAATTCAACAAGAAGTGTTAACTATTCTGAATATATATGCACCCAATACAGGAGCACCCAGATGCATAAAACAAGTTATTAGAGACCTACAAAGAGAGTTAGACTTCCATACAATCGTAGTGGGAGCCTTTAACACCCCACTGTCAATATTAGACAGAACAACGAGACAGAAAATTAACAAAGATATTCAGGACTTGAACTCAGCTCTGGATCAAGTGGATCTAGTAGACATCTACAGAACTCTCTACCCCAAATCAACAGAATATATATTCCTCTCAGTGCCAAATGGCACTTACTATAAAATTGACCACATAATTGGAAGTAACACACTCCTCAGCAAATGCAAAATAACTGAAATCATAACAAAGAGTCTCTCAGACCACAGTGCAATCAAATCAGAACTCGGGACTAAGAAACTCACTCAAAACCACACGATTTCATAGAAATTGAACAACCTGCTCCTGAATGACTCCTGGGTAAATAATGAAATTAAGGCAGAAATCAAAAAGTTCTTTGAAACCAGGGAGAACAAAGAGACTACTTACCAGAATCTCTGGGACACAGCTAAAGCAGTGTTAAGAAGGAAATTTATAGAACTAAATGCCCACATCAGAAAGCTAGAAAGATATCAAATTGTCACTCTAACATTACAATTAAAAGAGCTAGAGAGGCAAGAGCAAAGTAATCCAAAAGTTAGCAGAAGACAAGAAATAACTAAGAGCAGAGAAGAACTGAAGGAGACAGAGACACAAAAAACCCTCCAAGTAGTCAATGAATCCAGGAGCTGGTTTTTTGAAAAAATTAACAAAACAGATAGACTGCTAGCCAAACTAATAAAGATGAAGAGAAAGAAAAATCAAATAGACACAATAAAAAATGATAAAGGGGATATCACCAATGACCCCACGGAAATACAAACTACCATCAGAGAATAATCTATGCAATAACCTCTACACAAATAAAGTAGAAAATCTAGAAGAAATGGATAGATTCCTGGATGTATATACCCTGCATAAACCAGGAAGAAGTTGAATCCTGAGTAGAACAATAACAAGCTCTGATATTGAGGCAGTAATTAATAGCCTATCAACCAAAAAAAGCCCAGGACCAGATGGATCCACAACTGAATTCTACCAGAAATACAAAGAAGAGCTGGTACCATTCCTTCTGAAACTATTCCAAACAACTGAATAGGAGGGACTTCTCCCTAACTCATTTTATGAAGCCAGCATCATCTGATACCAAAACCCGGAATACACACAACAAAAGAAAGAAAATTTCAGGCCAGTGTCTCTGATGAATATCAATGTGAAAATCCTCAATAAAATACTGGCAAAACAAATCCAGCAGCACATCAAAAAACTTATCCACCACGATCAAGTTAGCTTCATCCCTAGGATGCAAGGCTGGTTCAACATATGCAAATCAACAAACATAATCCATCACATAAACAGAATCAAAGACAAAACCACATTATTATCTCAATAGATGCAGAAAAGGCTGTTAAAAAACCCAACATCTCTTCATGTTAAAAACTCTCAACAAACTAGGTATTGATGGAACATATCTCAAAATAATAGCAGCTATTTATGACAAACCCACAGCCAATATCATATTGAATGGGCAACAGCTGGAAGCATTCCCTTTGAAAACTAGTACAAGAGAAGAATGCCCTCTCTTGACACTCCTATTCAACATGGTATTGGAAGTTCTGGCCGGGGCAATCAGGCAAAAGAAAGAAATAAAGTGTACTCAAATAGGAAGAGAGGAAGTCAAGTTGTCTGTGTTTGCAGAAGACACGATTTTATATTTAGAAAACCCCATCATCTCAGCCAAAAAACTTCTTGAAATGATAAGCAACTTCAGCAAAGTCTCAGGATGCAGAATCAATGTGCAGAAATCACAAGCATTCCTTTACACCAATATGCAAGCAGAGAGCCAAATCATGAATGAACTCCCTTTCACAATTGCTACAAAGAGAATAAAATACCTAGGAATAGAGCTAACAAGGGATGTGAAGAAATTCTTCAAGGAGAATGACAAACCACTGCTCAAGGAAACAAGAGAGGACACAAACAAATGGAAAAACATTCTATCCTCATGGATAGGAAGAATCAATATTGTGAAAATGGCTGTACTGCTCAAAGTAATTTATAGATTCAATGCCATTACCATCAAACTACCATTGACATTCTCCACATAATTGGAAAAACTATTTTAAATTTCATATGGATTCAAAGAAGACCCCATATAGCCAAGACAATCCTAAGCAAAAAAAAAACAAAAAAACAACAACAAAAAAAAACAAAGCTGGAGGCATCACACTACTTGACTTCAAACTATACAACAAGGCTACAGTAACCAAAACAACATGGTACTGATACTAAAACAGACATATAGAACAATGGAGCAGAACAGAGACCTCAGAAATAACACCACACATCTACAACCATCTGATCTTTGACAAACCTGGCAAAAACAAGCAATGGGGAAATGATCTCCTATTCAGTAAAGAGTGCTGGGAAAACTGGCTAGCCATATGCAGAAAATTGAAACTGGACCCCTTCCTTACACCTTATACAAAAATTAATTCAAGATGGATTAAAGACTTAAATATAAAACCCCAAACCATAAAAACCCTAGAAGAAAACCTAGGCAATACCATTCAGGACATACGCATGGACAAAGTCCTCATGACAAAAACTCCAAAAGCAATTGCAACAAAAGCCAAAATTGACAAATAGGATATATTTAAACTAAAGAGGTTCAGCACAGCAAAAGAAACTATCATCAGCGTGAACTGGCAATCTACAGAATGGGAGAACATTTTTGCCATCTACCCATCTGACAAAGGTCTAATATCCAGAATTTATAAGGGACTTAAACATATTTAAAAGAAAAAAACAAACAACCTCATCAAAAAGTGGGCAAAGTATATGAACAGACACTTCTCAATAGAAGATATTTACATGGCCAACAAACATGTGAAGAAAAGCTCAACATCGCTGATCATCAAATGCAAACCAAAACCACAGTGAGATACAATCTCATGCCAGTCAGAACGGCCATTATTAAAAAGTCAGGAAACAGGCCAGGTGCAGTGGCTCATGCCTGTGATCCCAGCAGTTTGGGAGGCTGAGGCGGGTGGATCATGAGGTCAGGAGATCCAGACCATCCTGGCTAACACAGTGAAACCCCGTCTCTACTAAAAATACAAAAAATTAACCAGGCATGGTGGTGGGCGCCTGTAGTCCCAGCTACTCAGGAGGCTGAGGCAGGAAAATGGCCTGAACCTGGGAGGCGGAGCTTGCAGTGAGCCCAGATTGTGTCACTGCACTCCAGACTGGGCAACAGAGCAAGACCCCCTCTCAAAAAAAAAAAGAAAAAAAAAAGTCTGGAAACAATAGATGCTGGCAAGCCTGTGGAGAAACAGGAACATTTTGACACTGTTGGTGGGAATGCAAATCAGTTCAACCATTGTGGAAGACAGTGTGGTGATTCCTCAAGGATCTAGAACCAGAAATACCATTTGACCCAGCAATCCCATTACTGGGTATAGACCCAAAGGAATATAAATCATTCTACTATAAAGACACATGCACACATATGCTTACTGCAGCACTATTTACAGTAGCAAAGACATGGAACCAACTCAAATGCCCATCAATGATAGACTGGATAAAGAAAATGTGGTACATATACACTATGGAATACTATGCAGCCATAAAAAGGAATGAGATCATGTCCTTTGCAAGGACATGGATGAAGCTGGAAGCCATCATCCTTAGCAAACTAGCACAGGAACAGAAAACCAAACACCACATGTTCTCACTCATTAGTGGGAGTTGAACATTGAGAACACATGGACACAGTGAAGGGAACAACACACACCAAGGCCTGTTGACATGTGGGGGGTGAGGGGAGAGAACTTAGAGGATGGGTAAATAATAGGTGCAGCAAACCAACATGGCACACGTATACCTATGTAACAAACCTGCACGTTCTGTACATGTATCTTTTTTTTTTAAAGAAATAAAGGAAAAAAAATAGGTATACTACCGAAAGTAACTTACAGATTCAGTGCTAATCCTACCAAACTATCAATGACATTTCTCATGGAATTAGAAAAAAATTCTAAAATTCATATGGAACAAATAAAAAGCCTGAATAGCCAAGGTGATTCTAAGCAAAAAGAACAAGGCCTGAAGCATCACACTACCCAATTTCAAACTATACTACAGGGCTTCAGTAACCAAAAGAGCATGGTACTGTTACAAAAATAGACACATAGACCAATGGAACAGGTTAGAAAACCCAGAAATAAAGTCACACACCTACAACCATCTGACCATTCTGGACATAGGCTTTGGCAAAGATTTCATGAGGAAATCTCCAAAACCAATTGCAACAAAGATAAAAATAAACAAGTGGGGCCAAATTAAACTAAAGAGCTTCTGTACAGCAAAAGAAACCATCAAAAGAGTAAACAAGTAACATGCAGAATGGGAGAAAATATTCACAAACTATGCATCTGAAAAAGGTCTGATATACAGAATCTACAAGGAACTTAAATCAACAAGCAAGCAACAAAGAACCCCATTAAAAAGTGGGCAAAGGATATGAACAGACACTTCTCAAAATAAGAGACACACATGGCCAACAAGCATATGTAAATTGCTCAAATCACTAATTATTATTGAAATGCAAATTATAGCCACAATGAGATAACATCTCACACCAGTAAGAATGGCTATGATAAAAACATAAAAAAAAAACAGATGGTGGTGAGGTGGCAGAGGAAGGGGAACACTTATACACTTCTGGTGGGGATGCAAATTAGTTTAGCCACTGTGGAAAACAGTCTGGAGATTTCTCAAAGAAACTTAAAGCAGAGCTATTATTCAACCCAACATTTCCAATATGAAGTATATACCCAAAGGAATGTAAATTATTCTACCACAAAGACACCTGCATATGTATCTTCATCACAATGCTATTCACAATAGAAAAGAAAAAAAAATCAACCTAAATGCCCATCAATGGTAGAACAGATAAAGAAAATGTGGTACATATACACCACGGAATACTACACAGCCATAAAAAACAATGACATTGTGTCCTTTGCAGCAACATGGATGGAACTGTAAGCTATTATGCTAAGCGAATTAATGCAGGAACAGAAGACCAAATACCGCATGTTCTCACTTATAAGTGGGAGTCAAACATTGAGTACACATGGACATAAAGATACGAACAAGAGACATTGGGGCCTATTTAAGGGGAGAGGGTGGAAGGAGGGGGAGGGTGGAAAAACTACCTACAGGGTACTAGGCCCACTACGTGGTTGATGAAATTATTTGTACACCAAAACCTAGTGACATGCAATTTACCCATGTAACAAACATGCACATGTAACCCTGGAACCTAAAATAACAGTTGAAAAAAGAAAAAAATACAAAAACTCCAAAACAGCCATATTAACAACTGTTCAACAATTGTCATTTGAAAAAAAGACACAAATATCCAGTTTCAGTAACGTTTTTAATGAATAAAAGAAATATGGAGAAGCTGTAAAATAATTTTAGAAAGCTTCTTATAATTCTATATTAATACAATTTAAGTATATAACACACATGAACCCTTTAAGAGATTATGAGTAACATGTATAACAAAAGAAGAAAAGCTTTAATTGATCAATAAATCTGGAACACCTAGGAAAAACTGTTTCAAAAAAGTAATCTAAAAATGGTGCAAATCTGAATCAATTATAAGTGACTTCTTTTAGAATTTCAAAATGGTTTCCATAATCTGTAATGTATGTCAGCACGTAGAAAAAAACTGAAAAACTCTCATACTCATGATATTAAGTGAGCATACCAAAATCATGTAAAACACAAAAGTTTACCATAAATTAGGAAAATGATCAATGGAATAAAGACATAATTCGCAAGATACAAACTATAAAGAGTAATTGATCTATTGTTAGTATTTAAATTACTTTTAATCAAGTAAATTAAAATTAAAATTTTACATTATTTTGCTTTCTACTTGGAAAATACTTTTCAGAAATATGTTACGTATTCCTGAGCAGTAAAATGGGCAACTTCACACATGCTGATAAGAATATAAAATGGCACATTTCTGAAGGGCAGTTCCATGATATACATAATGAAAATTTCAAAGATAAAAATTATTTCAGCCAGTAATTCCACTACAATAACTGTTTATAAGAGAGTAGTTAAATATGTGCACAAAAATTTAAGTACATAATTTTCATTCTTACCATCCTTACAGTGGCAAGAAAACTGAAATTATGTTAGGGTACAACAAATATGTGATAGATTAATTATTTTTTGATGTATCCACATCATAAAATCGTATATTTATATCAGTTTAGAATAATATTCCGTTATGTAGAAAACACTTATGTTAAATTAAAAATAGAATGTATAACTGCATGACCCAATAATGCTCATTTTTTAATTGACAAATAAAAAATTGTATATATTTATGGGGTACATCATAATGTTTTGGTATATGTACACATTGTGGAATGGCTAAATCAAGCTAATTAACATATGTATTACCTCACAAACTTATTTTTTCGTGGTGAGAACTCTTAAAATCTACTCTTTTGGCAATTTTGAAGATACACTACATTGTTGTTAACTATAGTCACCATAATGTACCACAGACCTCTTTCAATTTGCTTCCCCTGTCAAATAAATTTTGTATCCTTTGACCAACATCTTCCCAATAATATTTAAAGGATTATAATTTAGTTATATGTATATAAAAATATAAAAAGATGTCAGATTGGACCTTACCTGGTAAGCGGGTCTGGAGCTAATATGTGGTTAAAGAAAATGTATCAAATATCAATCAATTGGTTAAAGCAAATGCAGAGAGGGGAGGCTAACATGTCCTGTGGAATTTACTAGGACATGACTAAACTCAAACTACTACCAGAATCTCGTCCTCCCTCCTCTCTTCTCCCTCAATAAGCCATGTATGGGCAAAACTGTGGTAAACTGTTAACCAAGGAAGGGAGGAATAAAGCTCTTTACCTTTCCAAACTCGAGTCAAATAAAGGGGCTTCCTTCAAGGCAAATAAAATGAATCCAGGGGAACTACTCAAAGGGATTGGGGGCAGGGCGTAGTCTTATAGGAAAGAGAGACTAGCGTCTTATTTCACACTTTTTTATATAGTAAATTGCACTTTGCCTCCTACATTCATTTAAGCAAAGGCTGAAGGGACTCAGAGAAAAACAGTAGATCAGAGAAGCATCTATGGAATTGGCTGCAATATCCCCTGTGATGGTTCATATTGAGTATCAACTCGATTGGATTGAAGAATGCAAAATATTGTTCCTGGGTGTGTCTGTGAGAGTGCTGCCAAAGATTAACATTTGAGTCAGTGGACTGGGAGAGACAGACCCAGTCTCAATCTGTGTAGGCACCAACTGATCAGTTGCCATTGCCGCTAGAATAAAGCAGGCAGAAGAACGTGGAAGGATTTGACTTGCCGAGTCTTCCAGCCTTCATCTTTTCCCCGTGCTAGAGGCTTCCTGCCCTCAAACATCAGACTCCGAGTTCTTCAGCTTTTGGGCTCTTGGACTTGTACCAGTGGTTAGCCACCAACTCTCAGACCACAGACTGAAGGCTGCACTGTTGGCGTCCCTACTTTTGAGGTTTTGGCACTTGCACTGGCTTCCCTGCTCCTCAGCTTGAAGATAGCCTATTATGGGACTTCACCTTGTGATGGCGTGAGTCAACACACCTTAATGAACTCCCCTTCATATGTACATATCCTATTGGTTCTGTCCCTCTGGAGAACCCTGACTAATGTATCCCCATTTGTAAGATTCCTGTGGGTAAAGTATAGGGCACTGTGGTAGTGGGGATGGTGATGTGCAAAATGAAGAAGTCCTGCACAGAAAACCTCCAAAGAGAGTGAACTGTGCAGTTGGAGGCCCCCAAGGTTCTCCATAACAAGCACACACGAGGCTCAAAATTTGCAGTCCTGCCACGAAGTATGTTGTCAGGTGACCCGTGTTAGTGAAAAGTCCTCTCCCATTCCTACAAGAGGAAAGTAGTGAAGACATTTAATTATCCCAGAGGATGACTTATCTGTATTCCGGGTCATATGAGTACAAGTTTAAACAACTTTGGATGGAAAAGGAAGAGGTCACAAAGCTTTCAACTGAATATGGAATTGGAATTTTTCAAAAGACTAGACCCAATTGAAATTTATAAAAATTGAAAGAAATTAAAATCTAAGGATTTTCCAAAGTGGTCATTTAGGAATGAAGAAAAAAAAAAAAAAGGAAATTCACCAACATGGTAAAAGGTTATGATTGGAGAAAACTAAAACCATTTCTTTTCTGGAGTCCACTGATTAAAAATTGTTTAAAAATCAGTTAAAAGTAATTGCTTGACAAGAAAATGAATAACGGAAAAATAGCCTAGTATTATTGCTTATAAAACTTCACATAATAATTTTGACTACAGTCTTAGAAAGGACTATGTAAGATAATTTATTCAATAACCTGGGAGTGGGGGCAGAACTCTTTATAGCTAACATTTTATGGCAGCCCTAAGTTAGTCAGCTTAATTAATTTCTATCTCAATTAAACTAGCTAATGTCTAACACTAGCTTTAGAATTTTAAAGACTAAATTATCTATTAAATCTATGACATGAAAATTGAAGGTTTCAGCTAATTATCTGGATAAATATAAAGTACTGCTTAAGGATAGTTCTGGCCAACTCCACACGTCCCTTTGAAACAGTTCTTCAGGTTAAAGGATGTTGACAATTCCTGGAAGCAAATGCAGGTTCCCGATTTTATGACTTCATTTTCTTTGCCTCTGTAAAATCACAGGGATCACTCATCAAACAATAACCAGGACATGTACTTGCCTAGATCCTAATGATTCATTATAACACAAGAATCTGGGGAAATAGGGCTGGAGCCAGACTGGTATTAAACTCTAGCTCTACCCCTTCTTGGCTGGGTGACTGGGCAAGTTATGTGACTGTGCCTCAGCTTCTTCATTTTTACAAAGGGGCTAATAGCTGTTTTGCTTGATAGGGTTATTATTAAAAAGAAAACCAAATAAAATACAAAAATCACTCAGAATATAAGTATTAACCAAGATATTGATTTTGAGAGATTATTACTGTATACAGCTATTGACCAAAAACTAAAACAATCAGTATTTCAAAAAATTTTTAAAAAGTAATAAGCATCAATTGTCCTACCTTTTCCTAAATGGTACTCCTATTTTCACCTTCATACCTGAACCATATTATTTTAACATCCTGACGTTTTTCTGGATTATATTTCAATACTCATGCAGCTCAGTATAGGAAATAGGTATAAAGAGATTGCAGATGTATGTTCTTTACATAAAATATCATACTTCTATAATTGAATAGAAGCAAAATTCTTTTTCCTCTGTTAACAAAAAGATATATACTTGCTTTCATCATTGAATGATTTTTTTTTTTTAGTTTTACATCTGGGAAACAGGGTATATTGATATTGAAGCCATATTACACTGGAATTTTTATATAATATTCTCTCCCCTTTACATATCTTACATTTTATTATTGCAAATATTGAAGCTGAAATTAACTCAAATCCTGTGTTGATGCAGGAATAATTTAAGTTATAAAATTAACTCAGAAGATTATGTGTAAACTGTGATTGAAACAGACTCTCCTGTCTTATAGAACTATAATTTCTCTGCAAAGTGAAATCCAACCAATAATTAGCATTTACCGCTGGGCACGGTGGCTCACGCCTGTAATCCCAGCACTTTTGGAGGCTGAGGCCGGCGGATCACGAGGTCAAGAGATTGAGACCATCCTGGCCAAAATAGTGAAACCCCGTCTCTACTAAAAATACAAAATTTAGCTGGGCATGGTAGTGCGCGCCTGTAGTCACAGCTACTGGGGATGCTGAGGCAGAAGAATCGCTTGAACCTGGGAGGCGGAGGTTGCAGTGAGCTGAGATCGCACCACTGCACTCCAGCCTGGACAGAAGAAGACTCTGTCTAAAATCATACTAATAATAAGCATTTACCAGTAATTTATATAAAAAGCAGTAATCAATCTCTAATATAATTTGCCTGTGATAAAAATACATCTAAAATCCCTATTGCTGGTGGCTTGCATAGAGAGACGGATAGAAAAAAACAAAAGAAAGACTGGTTGAGAGAGACAAATGTGGAAGAGAAGGTAAGATAGAAAAAGAGGGAGAGGGAGTAAGGGAAGGAAGAAGGTGGATTAAGTTTAGTTAGTAGTACAAACATCGTAGACCACATTTTCCACAGTCATTTATGAGCTAGGGGTTAGTGAGGACAAGTTATCCTTTTATTTCACGGCTAATCACCATCAAGAAAGGGAGAACCTTTGGGAATATTTTAATTGGGAAAGTAGCATACAGTTATACATGGGTTTGTTAATGCCCATAATTGTTTTCCAGAAAGAAATAGATACATACATATTTTTTACTTTGTTTGATACATTAAATATAAATCCTGTGCCTTACACAAGGACTGACTGAATTTCAATTTGTCCTGGGTTAGAAATTAGAAAGAAGACTCATAGAACACTGAATAGACCCAGTTTACTTAAAGTACACAAATGAAGTAATGTAGCATTTATCCAAACAGTAATTGCATCAGGAGTCTTTGCAACATCTCAGATGTAGCTTCTTGGCCCCCTGCCTCAGGAGAAGTGCTGTATTGCAAGAGCTGAAATTAAAACAAGCTAATGTAGATAACTCAAATTTAGGAAAGCAGCCTGTATAATTTTGCACTTAAATCTTATACTGTTTCAAGTAATCTCTCTTGGAGGATATGCCAATTGAGTATAGCTACAATCTACCAATCAGAGGTTTAATCATGAATAATTTTGGTACCTGAGTACAATCTGCTTGATACAGCATGAACAAAGAATGCTATGTTTATTTTAACTTAGTACTTGTTAGAAGGCAGAATTGCAAAAAAATATGGAGTCATGTTGCCAGATCTCCATGGATTTGGCATAAGAGCAGATCAAATGAACAAAATATTGAAGTCCAAATTTTTTTAAATATTTAAGCATTATCTACAAATTTTATGTATTAGAAAACTTTAATTGAGGAATACTTTATAGGAGGTCTGCAATATATTACTAGAAGTGAAGCTAAAAGGGTAACAAATCAAACTTGTCAAGATCATTCATTGATTCTTTTTTTTTTGAGATGGAGTTTCGCTCTTGTTGCCTAGGCTGGAGTGCAATGGCGTGATCTTGGCTCACCGTAACCTCCGCTCCTGGGTTCAAGTGATTCTCCTGCCTCAGCCTCCCGAGTAGCTGGGATTACAGGCATGTTCCACCACGCCTGGATAATTTGTACTTTTAGTAGAGACAGGGTTTCTCCATGTTGGTCAGGCTGGTCTCAAACTCCCTGCCTCAAGTGATCCACCTGCCTCGGCCTCCCAAAGTGTTGGGATTATAGGCATGAGCCACCGCACCTGGCTCCATCCATTGATTCTTGATCAGGATTTAGCATTAGGATTACTTTCCTTTGAAGATGCAAAACACTTGCCATCAGGCTGAGATTCATTTTAATAGTTAAACTTATTAAAATGTAATGTAGGTACCACTTTCAGATCCCAAACAGGGTCTGACAATAAGTGCTCAATAAATAAACAAATATTTGTTAAGTTAATTAATTTGTTAATTAGTTTTTTAGAGCATTCATGTTTTTTAATTTTGGAAACCTACTTTGAGTCCCCAAATGTATAGCATTGATTCAAAATCTTGTTTTACAAGCATTACAAAATCCAGTGCCCCAAAATCATGATATGTTGACCTGTTCTGCCAGTATCATTAAAAATGTATGCATCCCTCATCAGTATGTTATGACAATTAATATCATTGAGAAAATTAATGTCCTAGGCGATGAGGACTTGTATCTTCACTATCAGTTCTCCTTTTTTAAGACATTGGCTAAAGAAACACATTGATCATAATATGTAAACATTTATTTTTTTCTATTTGGTCACTGTTTGTGACAACCAATGCTTATTAACTGTTGGACCCAGTACAATCTGTCACATGTAACTGATATTACCAGAACTCATCAGGTTCTTCTTTTCCCTGGTATAGTTATGATAGCTTCTAAAACAACTAATGTTATAGTCAGTTGCCAGCATTTGCTGGTTCCTGCCTTTACCCTGTCTTTCTTATTTTTGTATCACAGTTACTTCTATTTTTTATTATCAAGTATGAGGAGGTACAAGTCATAGTGGGTAAGTTGGCTATGTAATAACCCTCAAACCTTAAAGGAGTAGCAATGTAAATGTTTATTATTCATTTATGTCAAAAAACAAATAGTCCCCAAAAGTAGGAAGAAAAGGTTAAAATTTGTGCAGTCATTCAGAGACACAGGATGACTGAAGCTTGGCCATCTGTAATACATGGCTTCAAATTCAAAATGGTGACACCCAGTCAAAAGAACGGGGAAATAAATTGAAGCACAGCTCTTAACTGCCTCACATCAGAAGCGACATATCACTTGTGCTCAGAATTCATTGGTGGGAATAAGTCATATGACCCCGGGTAATCAAAAGGGTTACAAAACATATTTTCACAGTGCCCAAGAAAAGGAAAAAGTTTGAGGATCATCTGGTCAGTATCTGACATTAATTTCACATAAACGTGTGGATGTTACAGATTTGTTCATTTATCATCATCATCCTCATCATCCTGATACAAAAATTGCCATGATATTTCCATTGTGAACTCTCATAAAGTTTCCTGAAAGGATGCTAAGTCTAAAAAAATTATTTTATTCCAGGCAATATAAAGATATTGGAGATTCTTCCTGCTTTTTTATTTACCAAAGACAGCAATGTAACTAAGCTCTTGCTTCATTTTAAATAGTAGTAAAATTCAACATAAGGGCACTAGGGATACGCATGGGCCAAAATTGCTGCAGCTACTGGGTCAATTTTAGCAGTGACATAATGGAAGGGATCTATATTTAAGATGACCGAAAATTTATTTTTCGATTTAATATATATTCCTGTACTTTTTGTATTTCTTTTTTTACTAATAGGGTTTTATTAGCAAACTAAGGCTTTTTTGTGACATTGACAACAGTTACTTTGAACATGAGTTAAAGCCCTGTCAGGCTCCATTGAGAGGCTAATCAGAGTTTTCCACGTGAGTGATGTTTAGGTCCAGTCACTTGTGACTGTAATCAGAAAGCTGGTCTGACTTCTGTGACAGCCGAATTGTGTCAAAATTGTCTTAAATATATACTATATTCTCTTACAGGTAGAATTTAACTTATTGTTTGCTTTCACAAATAGTTATAATACTCTAAAACTTTATGTAACTAAGTTTTGGGTTTCCTTTTACCCTTCACACTTTAAAGAGAAAACCATCATCACTTATTTTTATTACTGAAGCCTAAAATTCTAAAAGTCATTTTGTGTGTTTCATTTGCTGGGCTTTTTCTATTCCCAAATTCATTCATATGCAGAATTACCCATGATATTCTGGAGAAAACAGGATGTCATTCTCTAAATGAAACACTTGGAAGGAGGATTATTTCTATTTCAAGCCTCCAGTTTATTTTAATTTATTTGCTGATGGAGCCAAGATCTGCAAGGAACAGTTCCACATTCTCATGCTGATTCTAAGTGCAAAAATCTACATCATGACCTTTGTATTAACAGACACAATATATCTTTAAAAATAGAGCATTCTAGCTGTATGTGCCAAGGCCCTAGTAGATTCAAATCTAAGCAGACATTACTACAGAAAAGCTTCAGTCTTGAGAAGAGCAGCTTTCACACAAGTGAATGAGAATTTAAAGAAAAAAAAAAGAACAAAAAAAGAAGAAAGAATACTGGGCTTAAAATACATTGTCAGAGTAGCAGCATCCAAAATACAGTGAAAATATATGCCTCAACTTAAGCAGTTTTTGTCTGTCACTCATTTCATGGTTTATAATCACACTCAAGGGAATAATATCAAGGCGATACTCCTGTTTCCTCAGAATCCATTTCTCCCAGGTGCTCTACTCTATCTCCATGAGTAATCTTCTGCTTGGCACTAAAGGGAGACTGAGTCTGCTACTCACACTGGCTTGTGCTGGCTCCTAGATGTTGTCAAATCAGTGACTTAATGTACATTCTCTCTGCTTATGTTCACTCTTCACACTCTTCTAAGACCACAGAACAAGATAAATAACCACCAACATATTTGGAGTAAGCTATATGATGTAAAAATAATTGAATAGCAGGTGTTTTGTTAATACATAGGTTGTCACTGATTAATATATCCTTGGAGGTGAACATAATTATTTCAAAGAGGGGACTGTTGAAATCATTAAGCATGTGGTCTCTGGGGGACCAGACAGGCTCTTAAAGGAACTGGCTCTTAAAGGAACTATTTCCTCAGAGGGTGGGGTAATAGATCCTAATTACAGCATCAATTAACAGTGTACAGCATTGCATGGTTTACTTCAGGTGACTTATTTAATACATCAACCTTGTGAGTTAGATGCCATCAGTATTATCTATAGTTTTCAGCTGAAGAAATGAAGGTTTGCAGAATTTAAGTGATTTAACCTGTTTTAGAGTTAGTATGTACCAGAGTCATCATTTTATAAAACTCTGATCCCAAATCTTATGTTTTTATCTTTTTTCTAATATGCTAGTGATTTTCAGATCGTATTCTGCATTGATATGGGTCTCTGAAAAGAAACTTCAGGGGCCACTATAAGGAGCAAGTAGAGACTCAAAGCAAATATGAATTCAGCGCCATCCCTCCCTATATCCATCAAAGCAACTCCGTTTTTATTGGTTGTTTAAACTGGGATTTTATGTAAGATTACATTTAAACATTAAAAAAAATAGTTCCAGTAACAAGTCAACAAAAACAGCAAGATTTTAGTACAAAACATTGTGCTACATCTTCTTTCTTTTTCCAAACAGAGACTGCTCAAAGTGATTCCTCAGTAAATAAATTTAGTCTATCAAGTTTACCTAGGAAAACACAGAGAGGGTTAAGATCGAGTTTTTGTTTGTTTGTTTGTTTTTAAGAGACAGGGTCTCACTCTGTCACCCAGGCTGGAGCGCAGTGGTGCAATCATAGCTCACCGCAACCTCGAACCCCTGGGCTCAAGCAAAGATCAGGATTTTTTTTAAGGATAGTATATTCAGGTATATTTTTTTCGGTGCTAATTTTGTTTAAAGATGAAGTTCTTGCGTCGTTGGTTTAACAAATGTCCTAGTTATTAATGCCTATGGGGAATCTGCACAGTGTCTCTTCTATGAGAAGATAGATCCCTTTATGACAAGACCCCAGTTCTTGGTCATAGATGATTGAATTAAGGTTGACATCTAACCCAAGTTGGGCCAATTTTATTACCTCCCCAAATAAAAAAATTGATTGGTACAGCAGGTTAAACCTGGAAGCTGAGTCACCTTTATAGTGTAACTTCACAAACTACAGAATTGTCCAGCTTTCTGCTCATTCTGAAGCCTTTGATTTTTGATACTTCTTCCTTTGATTCTTTGACATTGCTTGTTAGCTCAAGGTTTTGTTTTCCTTTTTTTTGCAACCAAAAATATGTTACCTAAGAAAGCAGTAATTTTAAAAACTAATTGGAAGCAGTTGTGTTCTGGAATTCAGAGGTATTTCCCTTTATTTTTATTCTTTCTTATTAATGAATTGAAGAAAATTAGTTAATTCCTATTATACTTTATAATGTTTTTTAAATCTGTCAATAAATAAGATAATTTTCTGAATTTATTTCTAGTATATTTTATAACATATGAATATAGGTAAATTTTTATCTCTATTAAGTCTATTAAATAAATCAATAGGAATGTTCTTCAGATATTAAATCCAATTTCTTTTTTCTCAATTTCTACCTCTAATCCTCGAAATGTATTTTCATATTTGAGGAATCTTCACTTTTTGTATGGTTATCATTCTGCTAAAACATTTTAAAGCAGGTTAATTAATTTTGTAATATTGTCTCAAGTGTGATCATTACTGCATGTGACATTTTACCTAAGTCCATATATTAAAACAGGACTATTCTGAACTGTTCAACATGTAATGTAAAAGCCCTATTTTACATCACACTCTATTAACAGAAGTATGAAAAGTGTAAAATGAATAACTGTATATGAAGGAAGATTTTACTGATGATGACTAAGTTTTTACAATTTTATTGTATTTCACAGTATATTATTTTATTAACCTAGAGGAAAGGAGGACACCTTGCACAACTTTTAGCCCCCATCATTATTCAATTAAATAGACTATTTGGAAAATAAAATTCTCATGGTAAACTGCTGAATTGGGTCATTCTGAAAGTCTTCTAATCTTTTTTATGGTTTTTTCTTAATAGTTATACATTATTGCCTTATGTTCCCTTGGTTCAGGTGTCCATCAATTCACAATTTATTACAATAACCTCCCAACTGTCCTTCATATCTCTGGCTCCTTTTTTCCTTGCCATCTCAAATCCAATTCAACTTATACCCAACCCATAAATTATTCCTCATCAACACCAAATTTACCTTTCATCAGCTTGCTAAAAAACAAACAAACGAAACTATAAAAGTACTTTAATCCCATTTTCAGAAAACAATTTAATACTTTGGAGAGGCATGCAGTGGTCTCTGAATTGATATCATTTGGCCCAACACAAACTGCTTTCATAGAACCAGGCATCTTTAATACATTTTATTTTAATCCTCATAATAAATTTGTTAAGAGCATTTAGTTATTCCTGTTTTATAGCTGAAGAAACTGAGTCCCAGAGAATTTAACTAATTTTCCTAAGTTACATAGTAGAGGCATCTGACTTTGAACCCAAGTCTGATGGGATTCCATGAAATACTTCATGAAAAATAGATCCCAAGGTCAAATAACTTTAGTAAAATAAAGTATGATATATATCCATCATGGAAATTCAAAATTTCCATTATCATTTTAAATAACGTAAGAGATATACAATTATAAGTGTATCCTAATTTGATTAATTTTGCATTTTCCAAACAAATTGGACCTCACTACCTTTTTCATGTGTCACTAATATTATCACTAGTAGACTATTGTAGAACTATTTTCGTCTGCCTAATAAATATTATGTCTTTGTGGCTTTACTGGGAACTTCTCCCTACTCTATGCAGCCACAGTTATACTCTCAGTTATATATCCACCCCTTCCTATCACAATGATAGACACAGTACTCAGGTTGTTCAATGAAAACACCAGATACCATGGACACAGTACATATTTAAAAACTAACAAATGATATAGCCAAAACCCATTAGAACCTTTCCTGAGCATTAGAAAAGTTACCTTTACACAGGCATCTTTATATCAAATGTGTGTAGAATAAAGCCAAACAAAGTCAAGAGATAGAATAAGTAGTTGAGATATCCTAGGTCCAACTATGTCTACAATAAACCTTGCCCTCAAATTCGCAGACAAAAAGACCAATAAATTCTCTTTTGGACTAAGTTTATTTGAATTGAGGTTCGGTCACTTGCAACCAAAAATTGTCCTGACACATAAAAAGCCTGTGACATTTGTGTACCACACAATGTACACTGTCAAAAACTGCACAGATCTGTGCTAAAATGCATTTAATTACCTTCATAACACTGTAGATCCCAATAAACAATTTTTTTCTAGGTTATCTCCCTTCAACTATCATTTCTTTGTGATTTAATGCACACTTAACTACTCATCAAATGACAGAGGCTTTCTTCCTTCTTGTTGTTTATCATCAAATATTTACCCATAATAAGCTTTAGTCATATTGTTATTTAGCTAGTTACTATAATCCAGTTGTAGGTCAGATTTCCTAGAAGCTTTGCCCTGAATGGGGATTCTTGTGCTAGCCACTTATTAAGGTACTGTGCTTAGGTGAAACATAAAAGCAAGTGAGACAAATAGAAGGGAAGAAGCTTATGAAGATGTACATGCAGATAAAATCTAGCCTCTGTCTCCTCCCATAGGGAGTTCTAGCTCAGGAATGTTTAGAGTCATCCTACACTGAAGCAAAATGTCTCCCTTTTATTTAGGTCAATTCTAAAAAGAATATAACTGCAACTGTTCCCACTAACACTCACAGAAAGTGAGAGACAGGTGCTTTCAGTCCAGAAAACGTATGCTGGCAAGGCTACAACAGAGTCAACTGCAACCTCCAGTTCCTTCCAACATGTCCTTGAAATAGTTTTGAGAAACTGCATGGTATAACCTAGAAAGAATTCAATTATTACAGTAAGATTGATCTAGGTTAAATTTCAGCACTGGTGCTTAATTTTTTGGTAAACTTGGACAAGTCATTTCACATCTATTGGCCTAGGAATAAGAATACATTCCTTTCTTTGTAATGATAAAAGGTAATATATTTAAAGATTTTGCCACATAAATAGGCACTGAATGGCACACCTTAGTGATACCTTAAATTAAGCAGCTTGGTGGTTTTTAAAATCTCAGTACTAGCTAAAACAACATTTATTATTTGATATACAAAAATAATTTAAAAGTAAATTTTTACTGAGCCTCTTCTCAAGAACAACAAAATCCAACAAGGTTTACATATCTAATACCCATTAAACTGCTTTACAGTCTTCATTCTTCCTCAATCCTGAACTGTACACCACAAGACAGCTGCTTCTAACATTTCAGTCCTTCCTCCTCTAGGCTCCCCTAAGCTACCCCACAGATCACAACCTACAAGAGGCCATCTTGAATTTTTCCTTCTGTATTTGTTTACTAAGTCTGCCATAACAAAGTACCAAACAGTAGGTGGCATAAATAATAGAAACTAATTTTTTTCCCACCTTTGGAGGCTAGAAATCTGAGATCAAGGTGTTGGCAGAGTTACTTCTTCTGAGAACTCTCTCTCTCTAGCTTTTCCATGGCCATCTTCCCTCTGTGTCTTCCCATGGTCTTCCCTCTGTGTGTGTCTGTGTCCTAATCTCCTCTTCCTAAAGGGACACCAGTCATAATGAATTATGGTGACCCCTCAATGACCTCACTTTAACTTCATCTCATGCTTTGAGGCCCTATCTCCAAATATGGTCATATTTTAAGGTACTGGGAGTTGGAACTTCAACGTATGGATTTTGGGGGGAACACAATTCAGACCATAACACCTTTGCTTTTCCTGTAGCTAACACTTGCCAGACACTCTCTGTTTACTCCCGTGTATATTGTGCTAGCCTTTCTGACGTCACAATATCTGCTTGTTACTCTTTATTGTGATATGCAGAAAAATGACCCAGGAGTTAGTCTGGCAAAGGAAAATGCTCATGGGTATTTATTGGGCAGGTGAGAGGGAGCAAATATGAATGGTCATGAATTTAAAATTTTTCTGTTACATTTTATAATAAAAATAGATTTAAAATAATTTAAAAATAGATCTTGTGGAAACACATCTCATTGAGACTCAACATCAGTAGTTACCATCTTATGGGGGAGATAGGAGACACTGAAATAATTTATTTTTGGAACCTGAGAATATTAGTTGAGAAGAGTATGACTGTTTCATCTTTTTCTCAGGTGAAGTTTTACTTTAATTATAAATCCAGAGTGGAAAAAATAGACTGAACTATTACAGAGATGGTGTTTACTCTATAAAATTTAGTTGTCTTAAAAACAGATAAAATTACCGGATAGAAAATGACTAGATCAAGATTATTTTGTTTACATACATATTATATCTTGATTGTAGAGTGCTTAGAGTTATATTTGCCTTTAACTTTTGCCTGAAGGTAGCTTTAGAATTGGGCAGACACAGGATATCTGAGAAAGAGAGGATCTCTGACAATTTTGTAGTGGGAGCATCAGCTACTAGGTTGCCTACCAGGGAAAGAAGTCATTTGTCTGATGAGAACAGCTGTAGCCTCCAACTCAGAAGAATAGAAATCACTGTTAAAAAGAAGCACCCTAAGAATCAAAATCAAAATCAAAATAATGAGGAGATGAGAAGTAGAGACTATCAATTTATAAATGTTTAAAACTGAAAGAGAGAAAGAGAGAGAAACAAAAGACTAGCTATTAATATTTGCATTTAGGTTAACTCCCATTTTTTGTGTAAGATGTTCATCACACCTTCTGTTTATTTTATAAGCAATTTTCCAGTGTCTGCAATGATTATTGCAAAATAACCCAAAGCTTTCAATTCCCTTATTTCTTTCCAGTATAAATTTTTAAAAATGAGCTCAATAGTTCAGACCCTTCGGAACAATCATTAACTTACCAGTCTTTTTATTTATTAATGTCCTTTTCTTATATCTTGTGCTCCCTTTTCTCCAAAGTATTTGTAAAATTCTATTCTCTTCAAGTCCTTGGCTACCATGAATTATTTCTGCCTTTTTTCTTGTACTGAGACCTACAAATAATGTAGCATGTCTTTGTTAAGTTCATTTTTTGCATTTTCAATATCAGTTTTTATTATAATAACAAGAACCATAATTAGATTTCTATAAAATTATTCTAATGATTTATAGATATAACTTGTCATCATCATCTATATAATTACATATTATATATATGATATATATGTAATATTTCCAGGCTATTCGGAAAATATAAACACATAAGACCCATCTAATTTTTTATAGACATATATGTACATATATAAATTCATATATAATGGTGCTTCACATGTTGCCTGTGACATTATATACTAAGACTAGCAATATATACTAGAAATATTTGACAAGATACATAATACAGAACTTATTTATATTGTGTTACTCCCACTTAAAGTGTAGGTAATATTTACTGGAGTAATAGAAAATGCTACCTAGATTTCCCTACTAGACAGCACTCCTCTGGCCGCTGGGATTATTGGCCGCTGATGGCTCTTCTCAGGAAATAATTCTCAGCTAAAAAGAATATCTTTATCCAAGGTCACATCTCCCTCCTGGAAGTCAGCATGCATCCAATGACTAATTGATGTGGAAATATAAACACCTGATGTCCTTGCCTCAAATTGGAGCAATTCTAAAACATTGTTCCATCTCTAGAGCTCCCATAGGAGCAACTGAGACTTTTGGTGCAGCTACATCACTTTCAATTCTTTCCTCTGTCCAAGCCAGCTTCCTTTAATTCTCCACAGATGTTGACCCTGAGGGCAGCTTGAATAAATTTTCAGCCTGCAAATCTCTGCCTCAAAATTTGTTTCCGAGGCTAACCACCATAAAACTGTTGGTACGAGGCATGGACCAAGGAATCAGCCTCTAAAATAGGATTTTGGAACTGGACTACCTCACACCCGAGTGCAAAATAAGACTCCATTGGTTACAGACTGTTGTGAGGCATGTGTTAAATTGTACAAGTAGTGAACAGAGGTAAGATAGGTATGCAGTAGGAGGTTTGATATTTGGGTTTTTAAAAGGTTTCTTGGAAGTACATATTATAAGAACAATGGTATCCTGTTAACTCTTGCTGAATGCCATTTATGGACTGGAAGAAGACAATAAACAGTAGGTGATTAATCACCTAAGTAAGTGTGGAAGGAGAAGTTTCCTTGGTAGCATAAAAAAAGACTTATCTTCTGCAGCCAGAGGGCAGAAAAATCCTAAGAAAGAAGCCCACGACTTAATTATAAAGAGTAGCAGAGTTCCGGGGAGGGAATACAGGGCAGATAACTCTAATGAATAAGGCCAGGACCTAATTATATGAGTAGTGAAGTTCAAGGAAGGCTTATTCTTAACCTGCTTTCAGTGCCCCTATGCCAAGCACTGGTTGGGAAAGAGTGAGTTATTGAGAATTGGCATGGGGACACCTGTTTTGGTGCACTCAGAATCTTGAAGCTCCAGAATTCACTGAACTCTTCTGGGCCTGCAAGAGTGGCCAACTTCTTATTGTTAGAGGATAGACATATATTCTTGATGAAAGCTATGGCAGAAGCCAGTGCCTTTTAACATGTGTACCCTTTAGGATCAACCCACATGACCGATCACCAATTACTAGAACGAAATCACAACATGCCCAGGAAAGTTCTGGGCATGCTAAGGTAGGGCAGGGACTACATTTCAAAAGAGAGGCTGGACCCATAGCCATTATGTTCCAGATAGTATATGAGTCTCTATTCTAAATGTGCTGGATCAAGGGTGCTGAAACATGAGGCTGAATAAGGAAGAGGTTATTATATGCAAACATTGTCCTGTAATACAGAATATAACATTCTGGCAAGGATCTCAGGGAACAATACTAACATACTATTTTTGGAAGCATGGAGAAAGTAATGGCTCCCATTAAGTTAAGTAGAAATGCCTATGGCAGACGCCGAAAGAAAGGACCAAAGTCCTTGAAGAAGTAGCTGTGCTAGAGTGGATATACTACATAAGACTGAAAAAGGCCGGGCGCGGTGGCTCACGCCTGTAATCCCAGCACTTTGGGAGGCCGAGGCGGGCGGATCACGAGGTCAGGAGATCGAGACCATCCCGGCTAAAACGGTGAAACCCCGTCTCTACTAAAAATACAAAAAATTAGCCGGGCGTAGTGGCGGGCGCCTGTAGTCCCAGCTACTCGGGAGGCTGAGGCAGGAGAATGGCGTGAACCCGGGAGGCGGAGCTTGCAGTGAGCCGAGATCCCGCCACTGCACTCCAGCCTGGGCGACAGAGCGAGACTCCGTCTCAAAAAAAAAAAAAAAAAAAAAAAAAGACTGAAAAACCCATTAGTTACCTTTGTTTTGCAGAAAAACTTGAAGGACATCTCATTGCGCAGTATGGTACAGAATGTACTAGAGAAGGGAACACTGTCATCACTGTATACTTTAATGGCTACTATCAACAGGGTTGATAATAGTAGATACTTTTATATTCATAGAAACAATGGGGATTGCACACCCACTTTCCCCCAATAAAAGAAGCCAGGTGGAAGCATTTGACTATTAGAAGCAAGTAGAGTTATAATTATCCTAATGAGAGACAAGGTTGAAGTAGAAGACAAGAAGGCCTTACTACAAACAAGCATATATGTGGTTAATAGAGCATAGTGTCCCTCAGGTCAAGAAGGTTGGATAGCCAATGAGGTTATTGTTTGATTTATACAATCAAAAGAGAAAGAACCTGAGTGCAGTGGCTCACGCCTGTAATCCCAGCACTTTGGAGGGGCTAAGGCAGGTGGATTGCTTGAGTGCAGAAGTTGAGGTCCAGCCTGGGCAACATGGCAAAAACCTGTCTACACACACAAAAAAAAAGCCAGGTGTGGTGGTGCATGCCTGTAGTCCCAGTTACTTGGGAGGCTGAGATGGGAGGATCATCTGAGCCTGGGAGGTGGAGGCTGCAGTAAGCCATGATCCCACCACTGCATTCCAGCCTGGGCAAGAGAGTGAGACCCTGTCTCAGGGGAAAAATAAAACTGGGGGAAGAGAGAGAGAGAGAGAGTGAGAGAGAGAGGAAGAGGATAACCATGATATCAAAGCCCATTGTCTCAATAAAAGTCATGATCTGTTGTTGAGTGTATATACCTGAGCCTATTTCCATACCCTTACCCTGCGGACAGAAGCAGATGCCAGGTCCTTAAAAAGGAATAACTCTGCAACGCCACATCAAATACAGAAATGACTCTCCCTACATACATTTATTTGGGTAACCATACGCTGAAAAGAAGCATACTACCTAAACATATGAAGAATTATTGGATACAGGGCCTTAGCATTGCTAATCGGAGGCCTGAAGCATCATCACGGTCTTTCAGTTAGTAAGGGGAATGTAGTTATGACCTTCTTTCCTAGATATTTATTTGGAATAGACATACTTAGTAGCTCTCAGAACCCCTACATTGGTTCCTTGCCTATGCATTAAGATTCATTATAATTAGGAAAGCCAAATGAAAGCCACTGAAACTGTCTCTGCTCCTCCAATCTAAGAGTAAATTAAAAACTGTATCTCAGGGAAATGGCAGAGATTAGAGTCACTCCTAAAGACTGTACGAGGTGGTAGTACATTTGATAGCCCCATAAAATTCACTGGACTTCCCTTGTAAACTTAAAAAAAAAAAATCCCTCCTCCAGATGGATGCTGGAGATGACAGTGGATACTGCAAACTTCACTAAGTGGTACCTCCACTGTAGCTTCCCTGCCAGCTGCGATGCCTTAGCTTAAACAGATTAACACAGACTCAATTACAAAGTAGTCTTTATGATTTAAAAATTATAATATACAAAATCATTTTTCCAGCCCTATTATAAAATATGTCCAGAAGCAGTTGAAATTCAACTGGATAAGACAATTGTACTACTTCTGATCTTGGTCTTTTGTCGTAATATAGTCCAAAGAGACTTAGGCGTCTTGGTCATTCTATTGTCTCAATATATCAATCATAAAATTTTAATAAGACTGAGCAAGGAGGTGCAAGTATATTACAGGCCTTGGTTGAAAAAAATGCATGTGATTTTATAGGGTGGAACTTAAACCCAGTGAAGATTTGGAATCCTCAGCATGTTAAGTGAAGTTTTGGGGAACTAGTAGTCCAGAACATGCCTTCCACATTAAATAAATTTGTTGAATTTTTATCCCTTCCATCATTAAGAGGGAAGTGTTTTCCTGGTTGGCCTCTGAGTTTCTGGAGACAGTATTTTCTAAGCTTGGGAATACTGCTCCAATTTGTTCAATAATAAACATGAAAACTGCCAGCTTTGTGTAGGACCCAGGCAGGTTCAGGTTCTGGTACAAGTGGCCCAGAATCTTGTGTCACATATCTCAGCAGATTCTCAGATGTTAGAGAATCATACAGTGTGGACTCTATGTCAAACCTCAGTAGGAAAATCACAACATAGATCCTTACAATTCTGGAGCAAAGTGAGTCCATCTGCCATAGAAAATTATAAACCATTCTCAGAACAGGTCCTAGCATTCTGCTGGAGTCTGGCAAAGATAAAGCTGTTGGCTGTAGGACAGTAAATGACCATGCTGCCCAGAATTACCCATCCATCTTGAGCTGGGTTAGCCAGATCCACCAAATCATGATTGCAAGGCCAGCAGCCACTCTTTGTAAGATGAATGTGTTCATCTAGGACTGGGAAAAACCAGGGACAGAGGCACAAGATAATGGCGTAAGCATGTTGCCCAGATCCCCATGTCATTTACCACTGTTGCACTGACATCTCTCTTTCCCATCTCACCTATGGCCACATGAGGTGGAGTAAAGTCTCAAATCACCAGGTGACAAAAGAGGAAAAAGAACAAGCTTTGTGCATAGATAGGTTTTCTCAGTACAAGAATGCAGGCTAAAAATAGTCTGCTGTTATATTCTAGCCCCATCGAAAGACAGAAGTAAGGAGGAGTCTCTGAATAGGCAAAGCTTCAGGTGGTATGCTTAGTCAGCACTTTGTATGGAATGATAAATGGCCCAAGGAAAAACATATAAAAATACATACAGTGACAACTGGCTTGGCTAATTGGTCTCAGGCCTGGAAAGAGAAAAATTTGAAGATAAATGATAAGGAGGTCTAGGGAAGAGGCATGTTGCAGACATTGAAGTTGGCACAAAGGGCGAGGTTCTTTGTTTTGCTTATTTACTCTCACCAGAGTATCTGCTACAGAAGGGGCACTAAACAACTAGGAAGGCAGAATTACCTGACTAGTAATCTGACATGATCAGCCAGTCTCTGTCACTGTCTAACCTAGACATAATAAATTAACAAAGAACCATGGTGGTAAGGATGAAAGATACTCATGGTGACAGCTGCATGACTGCCCACTCCATAAAGCTGATTCCATTACTCCTGTTGCTAAACATATAAGTTGCTTGCCACAGAGACCAACACTAAATCTGGATATGGTGTCTACCAAAAAAATAAAAATAAAAAAATAAAATAAAATAAAATAAAAAGCCATTTGGTGGCACATTGATTACATTAGACTCCTTTTACCCTGAAAAAGGCAATAGTTAATTTTGAATGGAAATGATATATATCTTAAACATAAGTTTGCCTTTTGAGCTTAGAAAACATTTGATCCACTGACATAGACTGAATATAATCATTGAATTCTTGAACTAAGGAACCACTTTATAGCAAAGAGGGTACAATAGGAGGCACATCACCATTGAATCACCTGGTTTTATCAGATACCACACTTCCCAGAAACTCTTGACATGTTGTGTCCTCACATGTATATATACAGGAACCTCTGGTGGGAGGAGTGACAGAATTACGTATAAAGTTATGAGTTGCTTACATTATTATTTTAAGAAATAAGATCTACATTTACCATATTGAAACACCTAGAAAGAGTGAGAATTTCAACCTTGATCTCTTTGATTTGCCATTTTCTTTTCATTATGAATCACTGTCTTTCCATATTTGCCCCTATGTAAAAAACTGCGTAAACAGGAAGAGCAGCAGAAATAGTGTCTCAGGAATAAATGAACAAAATTGCAGGTTAGTGCCGTGTTTATATGCAATGATTTTTCACATTTGTTTTAATATTGACAAATTAGAATCAATCTAAATATTCATCAATATGGAATTGGCTATATAAAATATGGCATCTACACGTGATCAGTAAACATGTAACCATTTAAAATCTGATTTTTAAAATTTTTTAAATTTTTTTATTTTTACTTTTATTTTTAATTTTATTATTATTATACTTTAAGTTTTAGGGTACATATGCACAAAGTGCAGGTTTGCTACATATGTATACATGTGCCATGTTGGTGTGCTGCACCCATTAACTCATTTAACATTAGGTATATCTCCTAATGCTATCCCTCCCCCTCCCCCCACCCCACAACAGTCCCCAGAGTGTGATGTTCCCCTTCCTGTGTCCATGTGATCTCATTGTTCAATTCCCACCTATGAGTGAGAACATGTGGTGTTTGGTTTTTTGTCCTTGTGATAGTTTACTGAGAATGATGGTTTCCAGTTTCATCCATGTCCCTACAAAGGACATGAACTCATCATTTTTTATGGCTGCATAGTATTCCATGGTGTATATGTGCCACATTTTCTTAATCCAGTCTATCGTTGCTGGACATTTGGGTTGGTTCCAAGTCTTTGCTATTGTGAATAGTGCCACAATACACATACGTGTGCATGTGTCTTTATAGCAGCATGATTTATAATCCTTTGGGTATATATCCAGTAATGGGATGGCTGGGTCAAATGGTATTTCTAGTTCCAGATCACTGAGGAATCCCACACTGACTTCCACAATGGTTGAACTAGTTTACAGTCCCACCAACAGTGTAAAAGTCTTCCTATCTCTCCACATCCTCTCCAGCACCTGTTGTTTCCTGACTTTTTAATGATTGTCATTCTAACTGGTGTGAGATGGTATCTCATTGTGGTTTTGATTTGCATTTCTCTGATGGCTAGTGATGATGAGCATTTTCTCATGTGTCTTTCGGCTGCATAATGTCGTCTTTTGAGAAGTGTCTGTTCATATCCTTCGCCCACTTGTTGATGGGGTTGTTTGTTTTTTTCTTGTAAATTTGTTTGAGTTCATTGTAGATTCTGGATGATAGCCCTTTGTCAGATGAGTAGACTGCAAAAATTTTCTCCCATTTTGTAGGTTGCCTGTTCACTCTGATGGGAGTTTCTTTTGCTGTGCAGAAGCTCTTTAGTTTAATTAGATCCCATTTGTCAATTTTGGCTTTTGTTGCCATTGCTTTTGGTGTTTTAGACATGAAGTCCTTGCCCAGGCCTATGTCCTGAATGGTATTGCCTAGGTTTTCTTCTAGGGATTGTATGGTTTTAGGTCTAATATTTAAGTCTTTAATCCATCTTCAATTAATTTTTGTATAAGGTGTAAGGAAGGGATCCAGTTTCAGCTTTCTACATATGGCTAGCCAGTTTTCCCAGCACCATTTATTAAATAGGGAATCCTTTCCCCATTGCTTGTTTTTCTCAGGTTTGTCAAAGATCAGATAGTTGTAGATATGCAGCATTATTTCTGAGGGCTCTGCTCTGTTCCATTAGTCTATATCTCTGTTTTGGTACCAGTACCATGCTGTTTTGGTTACTGTAGCCTTGTAGTATAGTTTGAAGTCAGGTAGTGTGATGCCTCCAGCTTTGTTCTTTTGCCTTAGGATTGACTTGGCAATGCGGGCTCTTTTTTTGGTTCCATATGAACTTTAAAGTAGTTTTTTCCAATTCTGTGAAGAAAGTCATTGGTAGCTTGATGGGGATGGCATTGAATCTATAAATTACCTTGGGCAGTATGGCCATTTTCACCATATTGATTCTTCCTACCCATGAGCGTGGAATGTTCTTCCATTTGTTTGTATCCTCTTTTATTTCCTTGAGCAGTGGTTTGTAGTTCTCCCTGAAGAGGTCCTTCACATCCCTTGTAAGTTGGATTCCTAGGTATTTTATTCTCTTTGAAGCAATTGTGAATGGGAGTTCACTCATGATTTGGCTCTCTGTTTGTCTGTTATTGGTGTATAAGAATGGTTGTGATTTTTGTACATTGATTTTGTATCCTGAGACCTTGCTGAAGTTGCTTATCACCTTAAGGAGATTTTGGGCTGAGATGATGGGGTTTTCTAGATATACAGTCATGTCATCTGCAAACAGGGACGATTTGACTTTCTCTTTTCCTAATTGAATACACTTTATTTCCTTCTCCTGCCTGATTGCCCTGGCCAGAACTTCCAACACTATGTTGAATAGGAGTGGTGAGAGAGGGCATCCCTGTCTTGTGCCCATTTTCAAAGGGAATGCTTCCAGTTTTTGCCCATTCAGTATGATATTGGCTGTGGGTCTGTCATAGATAGCTCTTATTATTTTGAGATACGTCCCATCAATACCTAATTTCTTGAGAGTTTTTAGCATGAAGGGTTGTCGAATTTTGTCAAAGGCCTTTTCTGCATCTATTGAGATAATCATGTGGTTTTTGTCTTTGGTTCTGTTTGTATGCTGGATTACATTTATTGATTTGCGTATGTTGAACCAGCCTTGCATCCCAGGGATGAAGCCCACTTGATCATGGTGGATAAGCTTTTTGATGTGCTGCTGGATTTGGTTTGCCAGTATTTTATTGAGGATTTTTGCATCAATGTTCATGAAGGATATTGGTCTAAAATTCTCTTTTTTTGGTTGTGTCTCTGCCCGGCTTTGGTATCAGGATGATGCTGGCCTCATAAAATGAGTTAGGGAGGATTCCCTCTTTTTCTATTGATTGGAATAGTTTCAGAAGGAATGGTACCAGCTCCTCCTTGTACCTCTGGTAGAATTCGGCTGTGAATCCATATGGTCCTGGACTTTTTTTGGTTGGTAAGCTATTGATTATTGCCTCAATTTCAGAGCCTGTTATTGTTCTATTCAGAGATTCAACTTCTTCCTGGTTTAGTCTTGGGAGGATGTATGTGTCGAGGAATTTATCCATTTCTTCTAGATTTTCTAGTTTATTTGCGTAGAGGTGTTTATAGTATTCTCTGATGGTAGTTTGTATTTCTGTGGGATCGGTGGTGATATCCCCTTTGTCATTTTTTATTGAGTCTATTTGATTCTTCTCTCTTTTCTTCTTTATTAGTCTTGCTAGCGGTCTATCTATTTTGTTGATCTTTTCAAAAAACCAGCTCCTGGATTCATTAATTTTTTGAAGGGTTTTTTGTGTCTCTATTTCCTTCAGTTCTGCTCTGATCTTAGTTATTTCTTGCCTTCTGCTAGCTTTTGAATGTGTTTGCTCTTGCTTTTCTAGTTCTTTTAGTTGTGATGTTAGGGTGTCAATTTCAGATCTTTCCTGCTTTCTCTTGTGGGCATTTAGTGCTATAAATTTCCCTCTGCACACTGCTTTGAATGTGTCCCAGAGATTCGGGTATGTTGTGTCTTTGTTCTCATTGGTTTCAAAGAACATCTTGATTTCTGCCTTCATTTCGTTATGTACCCAGTAGTCATTCAGGAGCAGGTTGTTCAGTTTCCATGTAGTTGAGCAGTTTTGAGTGAGTTTCTTAATCCTGAGTTCTAGTTTGATTGCACTGTGGTCTGAGAGACAGTTTGTTATAATTTCTGTTCTTTTACATTTGCTGAGGAGTGCTTTACTTCCAACTACGTGGTCAATTTCGGAATAGGTGTGGTGTGGTGCTGAAAATAATGTATATTCTGTTGATTTGGGGTGGAGAGTTCTGTAGATGTCTATTAGTTGCACTTGGTGCAGAGCTGAGTTCAATTCCTGGGTATTCTTGTTAACTTTCTGCCTCCTTGATCTGTCTAATGTTGACAGTGGGGTGTTAAAGTCTCCCATTATTATTGTGTGGGAGTCTAAGTCTCTTTGTAGGTCTCTAAGGACTTGCTTTATGATCTGGGTGCTCCTGTATTGGGTGCATATATATTTAGGATAGTTAGCTCTTCTTGTTGAATTGATCCCTTTACCACTATGTAATGGCCTTCTTTGTCTCTTTTGATCTTTGTTGGTTTAAAGTCTGTTTTATCAGAGACTAGGATTGCAACTTCTGCCTTTTTCTGTTTTCCATTTGCTTGGTAGATCTTCCTCCATCCCTTTATTTTGAGCCTATCTGTGTCTCTGCACGTGAGATGGGTTTCCTGAATACAGCACACTGATGGGTCTTGACTCTTTGTCCAATTTGCCAGTCTGTGTCTTTTAATTGGAGCATTTAGCCCATTTACATTCAAAGTTAATATCGTTATGTGTGAATTTGATCTTGTCAGTATGATGTCAGCTGGCTATTTTGCTCGTTAGTTGATGCAGTTTCTTCCTAGCCTTGATGGTCTTTACAATTTGGCATGTTTTTGCAGTGGCTGGTACCAGTTGTTCCTTTCCATGTTTAGTGCTTCCTTCAGGAGCTCTTGTAGGGCAGGCCTGGTGGTGACAAAATCTCTCAGCATTTGCTTGTCTGTAAAGGATTTTATTTCTCCTTCACTTATGAAGCTTAGTTTGGCTGGATATGAAATTCTGGGTTGAAAATACTTTTCTTTAAGAATGTTGAATATTGGCCCCCATTCTCTTCTGGTTTGTAGAGTTTCTGCTGAGAGATCAGCTATTAGTCTGATGGGCTTCCCTTTGTGGGTAACCCGACCTTTCTCTCTGGCTGCCCTTAACATTTTTTCCTTCATTTCAACTTTGGTGAATCTGACAATTATGTGTCTTGGAGTTGCTCTTCTCGAGGAGTATCTTTGTGGCATTCTCTGTATTTCCTGAATTTGAATGTTGGCCTGCCTTGCTAGACTGGGGAAGTTCTCCTGGATAATACCCTGCAGGGTGTTTTCCAACTTGGTTCCAATCTCCCCGTCACTTTCAGGTACACCAATCAGACGTAGATTTGGTCTTTTCACATAGTCCCATATTTCTTGGAGGCTTTGTTCATTTCTTTTTATTCTTTTTTCTCTAAACTTCTCTTCTCACTTCATTTCATTCATTTCGCCTTCCATCACTGATACCCTTTCTTTCAGTTGATCGCGTCGACTACTGAGGCTTCTGCATCCGTCACATATTTCTCGTGCCTTGGTTTTCAGCTCCATCAGGTACTTTAAGGACTTCTCTGCATTGGTTATTCTAGTTATCCATTTGTCTAATTTTTTTTTCAAAGCTTTTAACTTCTTTGCCATTGGTTCGAACTTCCTCATGTAGCTCAGAGTCGTTTGATCGTCTGAAGCCTTCTTCTCTCAACTCATCAAAGTCATTCTCCGTCCAGCTTTGTTCCGTTGCTGGTCAGGAGCTGCGTTCCTTTGGAGGAGGAGAGGTGCTCTGATTTTTAGAGTTTCCAGTTTTTCTGCTCTGTTTTTTCCCCATCTTTGTGATTTTATCTACCTTTGGTCTTTGACGATGGTGATGTACAGATGGATTTTTGGTGTGGATGTCCTTCCTGTTTGTTAGTTTTCCTTCTAACAGACAGGACTCTCAGCTGCAGGTCTGTTGGAGTTTGCTAGCGGTCCACTCTAGACCCTGTTTGCCTGGGTATCAGCAGCAGTGGCTGCAGAACAGCAGATATTGGTGAACCGCAAATGCTGCTGCCTGATTGTTCCTCTGGAAGTTTTGTCTCAGAGGAGTACCCGGCCGTGTGAGGTGTCAATCCGCCCCTACTGGGGGGTGCCTCCCAGTTCGGCTACTCGGGGGTCAGGGACCCACTTGAGGAGGCAGTCTACCCATTCTCAGATCTCAAGCTGTGTGCTGGGAGAACCACTACTCTCTTCAAAGCTGTCAGACAGGGACACTTAAGTCTGCAGAGGTTACTACTGTCTTTTTATTTGTCTGTGCCCTGCCCCCAGACGTGGAGCCTACAGAGGCAGGCAGGCCTCCTTGAGCTGTGGTGGGCTCCACCCAGTTCAAGCTTCCGGGCTGCTTTGTTTACCTACTCAAGCCTGGGCAATGGCGGGCGCCCCTCCCCCAGCCTCGCTGCTGCCTTGCAGTTTGATCTCAGACTGCTGTGCTAGCAATGAGCGAGACTCCGTGGGCATAGGACCCTCTGAGCCACGTGTGGGATATAATCTCCTGGTGTGCCATTTTTTAAGCCCATTGGGAAAGCACAGTATTAGGGTGGGAGTGACCTGATTTTCCAGGTGCCATCTGTCACCCCTTTCTTTGACTAGGAAAGGGAATTCCCTGACCCCTTGTGCTTCCCAGGTGAGGTGATGCCTTGCCCTGCTTCGGCTTGTGCATGGTGCGCTGTACCCACTGTCCTGCACCCACTGTCTGGCACACCCCAGTGAGATGAACCCAGTACCTCAGTTGGAAATGCAGAAATCACCCATCTTCTGCCTCGCTCACACTGGGAGCTGTAGACTGGAGCTGTTCCTATTCGGCCATCTTGGCTCCTGGAGTCTAAAATCTGATTTTTTGTTGATTGACTTAGGTACAATTAGCAAGCAGTGGAGCCTAAGATACAAAACAGGTCACTCTCCCATCTCCTATGCTTTACATGCCATTCCAAATTAAGTATTTCATTTTATTTTTATGCATTAATATTGTATGTTGAAAAATGTAATCAAGTTCTGATTAGTAGTCACTGTACCTGGATACAATTCTCAAATAAGTTTTATCTCTTCTATTATTAAAAACTAATAAATTGTTCATCTTGTTTTTCTAAATATATCATAACATGGAATAATTCTCATTATATAACATTATGTTAAAAATCAGAATGAACATAAAATGTATAGCATGGCCTAACTGATAAACACCTATAGACTGGAGAGGGAAACTGGAGGCTTTGCCCCCAACATAACTCTTTCTCTTTCTATTTTTTTCCCATAAAAATTGAAAGTTAAATTTGGGTTCTTTTATTTTGAACACTTAAAAACAATTACACTTTAATAATATATCTACTATAACAGTAGTAAAATAAAATCATATATCCAAAAAAACTAATGTAGCATCATGATAAAATCTAATTTTGAAATTATCATTAAAGAATTTTAACTTTCTAATATATTTCAGTAATTTTCAACAATTACCACTTTAAAGGAGGTACTGTTTAAAATTTTGGGGGGCTATTGAAAGAGATGAATATTTGTCACTGTGCTTCTCATTTAACAAGGAATTAAAGCTTCAATATGATTACTACAGGAAGTAAATATTTAAATTGGGCAATTTATTATTTAGAAAACCACTGTAGTTTAAACCTTTAAGTTTTCTATCCAAGTGATGTAGCTACACTGAAGACCAAGGATATGTGAAGATTATATGCAAATACTATGCCATTTTATGTAGGGGACTTGAGCATCCTTGGATTTTGGCATCTGCAGGCATGCTGGATCCAATTCTCCATGGATACTGAGGGACAACTGCATACACACACACACACACACACACACACACACACACACACACACACACAAATATTCAGCCTTAAAAAGATGATCCTACCATTTGCCACAATATAGATGGACCTGGAGGACACTCTACATGCAATAAGCCAGACGCAGAAGGAAAAATATAGCTTGTATGTGAAACACAGAGAAAAAAACAGAGCATGTTCTGATTTACCTGCTCTTCTGCTCTGCTCTTGGTGTCTGGCAGGGGAAGTCACCCAGCTGCAATAAGTTGAGAGTGAACTAGGAACCTGACTGCTTGTGAAACAGCCTTAAAATAATTCTCCTGATTTCAAATCTCTCTCATTTTCAGAAAAACCTGTAAGTGACAAGAGTTTTGGGGATTATGTGATATAAACTTGATTGTTTCTTGGTATTCCCTATTGCTGGTTTAAATTTTACTTTTAACAGGAATGCTAGTTAACTTAACACTTGTATTTCTGCAATTCAGTTTCGAAAATTGTGTTGGCAAGGTTTCCTTTCCTTTTTTTCTGATCTTGTGAATCTATATCTTAGTAAATGTATCCTTTTATTGTTTTAGTGGGTTTTCTGGAGAAATCAAATGTGTATGTATGTATATGAATGATCAGCTGCTATATCAAAATAAGCATGTCCATATATAAACTTGTCTTTCTTCCCAGGGTATGTATCTTTTCCTGTTCCTTAATGGTCTATCACTCTTCTGATTGCTGAGGTTAGACACTAGTCCATTTCCTGTCTCCTACATTATTTTGCCTTATCCAACCTGCCAATCAATTTCACCATTTCTTCCTTTAAATAATGTCTCAGGATTTCCACTTTCTCTGCTTACTTGGTGTCTCTATTCTGGTTCATCCGCATGCCATTTAAATTCCAGCTCAGTAGACATGAAGCCATTTCAATAAATTTGTGTTAGATTATCCAAATGATACATTCCATGCACTCAATGATCCATTCAGAAATGAGTGTTGGAACTGTTTCAACCTCAAATTAAGGTAAAATCTGCTTTTATTGATTTAATCTACACAAGTCTCACGATTTATTGATAATCTTAAAAGGAAGGAGAAGAAACAAGAACCAAGTAAACAGTCAGTACTTTATTATTACATTATCAGTTTAATTCAATGGTTTTTGAAAAGCACTTTTCCCAAATTTTTAAGTTCATTTATCTATTGAGATCAAAACATATTAATATTTATTTAACATTGCTTAATTCATTCAATGCATGCATATTCTGTAACTATTATGTATCAGTTATTTTGCTTGGGTTCAGTTGTGTTTGGATGAGGATGCAAATTTAAATATGAAAATTTGCGAGTGACCTCCCAATGTTCAAGCCTAGCAGGAGTGGTAAGCTTTTATAAACAGGACACAATATGGTATGCTAAGTGCTACAATGGAGGTGGGAACAAGGCAGATGGGGTATAGAAAGAACATAATTTTAAGCTCCATCCACCTCAGCTCTGGGGTAAAGGAAGGGTTCTGAGAGGTTAAAGCAGTTGAAATTATTACAGATATTATTGGAGAGGGCATTCTAAGCAAAGCCATCAAATAGCAAGGCAGGATGATGTGTTCCAGTAACTCTGTTTTGAATTATCATATACAATTCACCTTTGTATTTCTGTCACCTGGAATAGATCACAGCTTATGCTATATACTCAAAATTTTATGAAATGAAATTTCTTACATTTCATTAATTGAAATTAATGTACCGTACTTGTTGATTTCTTAAATATAACACAACAAAAGAGCAAACACTACAAGATAACATCCTTGGTCATCTGGTAGGTATAATTTATCTTTGTTCTGGGAACTGTAGTCAATATTCTGCAGTTCCTGCCCTCAGAATGATGAACAGCACTGTTGGAGAAGACTGAGACTTGTGCAAATAGCACATAATAGAACAATCTGTCCAGTATGTGTGCAAAGTAGGAGGTTTTGAGTAACTGCTGTGGAGCAGAAATCAGGAAACAGTTTTATTCCCAAACTTCTCTCTAATTAGCTGTGTTAACTTTTTAGAATCAATTATTGTTTGTGTCCCATGTTCTTAATTTTAAAGAGTGACTTGCACTAGGTAACAACTAAGTTTCTTTTCAGCTTCTAAGTTATACATATATGTCATTAAAATGATGAATAACAATGTTTCCTTGCCTCTATTCTTTCATAATTGTGTCTGGCGAGGACTGACTTTTGCTTCTAAGGTCAGCACAGAAAACAACTTTCTCTCCTAAACTCCCATGGAACTGTTTTGCTAGCTGTGTTATTGTTTAGTGCAGAATAAGATTTAGGGTATAGGTTCTGGCCTGGCACCATTTTATTTTATGGCTTTGCCACTAATTTCTGGTTGTATAATCTTGGAAATGTATTTTAATCTATCTGTTTAATTATTTCTTCATCTATTTAATGGGAATTCTACCAATACCTACTTCATAAAGTTATTGCTGAAATGAGTTAATGCTCACTCTCAAAGTGTTTAGAAGAGGACTCAGCAAAAATACATATTCAAAAGATAATTAATAAGTCATGATTATTTAAGATGTTTACAGTCCCATACCTTGCAAAAAGAATTAGTAGGATACAAGGTCAATAAAGAGCTGAGCCCTTTTGTAGGTGTAAATTGCCCAGAAGTGAAGTCTTACCTTCTTTTTCTCTGTAGCCCAAGTGTTTATTCTACTTAAATATTTGATGGGAGAGTGTAAAATTTTATTCCCCAAAAATACCTGAATGGAGCAATTATTCCTTTGTGTCCATTATAGTATTTAATAAAATGCCCTCATCTGATCCTTCATCCATATAAGGAAGAAAAGCTGGGAACTAAGGTTAAATAAGCAAGACCAGCTACATAATTGATGGGCCCCAGTGCAAAATGAAAATATGGGGCTCTTATTCAGAAAAACAGAAAAAGGCACTAAAGTATAAAACATTTTTATTTCTCCTGTGCATATCTTCTGGTCATTCACATGAACCATTTACCCATCATATTTCACTTACAAAACATCAAATCACAATGTAATAATTAAGGATTTAAAGACAGTTACTGCAGAGCATTAAACCAGAATGATACAATTTGCACAGGTCACATTCCCATAAAGATAACTGTAATCCAGAAGCATGAGGGAGATGGAGAAACATAAGCATTTATGTAACATAAGCATTTAATGGTAGTGCAAAAAAACGCAAAACCATAAAAATCCCACCACATCTCTAAAACTAATACTTCAATGTTATCAGACACCTGTGTTTCTCAATGGTAACTTCAAGGGGGAATATATATATATATATAATTGAACCTGATATCCAGCATGTGAGTTTATCATATAATGCCTCCTCTCTACTGACCAGTGTTTCCCCAGAATATTCAGGGTAAAAGTCTAAGTATTTGTATGGCCACAACACCCTGTTAATCTGAACCTGTCTCTCTTACCAATTTGTCTTTATCCCATATCATTCTGTTCCTTTCTTACTCATTTCCAAGCATGCTGGTCTCCCTGTTCTTGCTTAAAAATGCTAATGAGGCCCTTTTCTCTTGGCTTTAGAATTTTCTCTTATCTTCCTGGAACACTCTGTTTCCAAATATTCACATTTACTTTTCTCTTACTTCTTTAAGTTCTCTGCTTGAAGGGCACATTACTGGAGGGGTCCACCCTGACCTCCCTAGCTAAAAATCACTCTCTCTCTCGTGTGTGTGTGTGTGTGTGTGTGTGTGTGTGTGTGTCTGTATCTGTGGGTCTGTCTCCACTTTCTCCATTCTTTCTTCATTGTCTTCATAGAATTTATCCATACTTTTTGTATTTATATTTATGTATTTATTTACCTGTTTATTTTCTCATCACAGAAGACTATGTATTCCATGAAGTCAGCAACTTTATTTTGTTCACTGCTGCACCTTCACTGCATAGAATGCTCTCTGTCATGTAGCCGATGCTCAATAATATTTGAGAGAGTATATCAAAAGTCTGAAGCAATATAGTCTTGAGGTCATTTAAGTGTCAGGCTCTGTGTTAGACCTTTCTGGAAGCCACCCCCTTTAGCCCATTTAACAGTCACGGAAATGTGGAAATGGCAGGGACTAGATAACTTGCTCAAGGTTGCTACCACTGCTCTTCAATGGAAACATTTTAGTAGAACATTAAACCACAGAACAAGAAGAAAACACTCTACTAAATAGTGGGAAAAAATCTAAATCATATGTTTATATAATACTAAGGCTGAGATATTTTACATGTTATGGAAATGACTTAAAATTCCCTTTGTTCTGTAAATGTCAGTGAATTCACTAAAAGGCAAAAAAATGATAAGTGATCTCTGGTACTAAAGCCCCAGATTTTTCTTCTCCAATTTATCCTGTCTTCAGACTAATGTTCATAAAACAAATCTGTTATCATACCTTGTCCCTGCTTTTGAACTTTTTATTTTTTAATTTAAAACAAAATGAGATGGTGTCTCACTATGTTGCCCAGGCTGGCCTCAAACTCCTGAGCTCAAGAAATACTCCCCCATTGGCCTCCCAAAGTGCTGATATTACAGGTGTGAGCTGCCGTGCCCAGCTTTTTGAACTTTTTATTAACAATTACATCAAGGCCAGAAGTCCTTGCCTGACTTTCAAGATATTTCATAAATTCAATCCCATTTTTCTTAGTATTTTCAAGAAAGATAAATCACGCTTTAGTCAGATCAGTGGCCTCAATGTTTCCATCATCTCCTACTGCTCCAAAAGAGATACACACACTATATACATTCTCATGATACAACTTTTAATCTTTTCCACTTAAAAAAACAAAAACAAAAAATTCACACTTTAGTGCTGTGGTAGGTAGAATTCTAAGATGGCCTTGAAATTTCTCCATTCTGGGGTGAACATAATCCACAGAACCGTGTACATGATGGATTATAGTCCATCATTGTATTATGCGGCACAGTGGACTTTAAGAAAGTTAGTTTACCCAGGTGGGTCTAACTTATTCAAGAAAGCTCTTTAAAGCAGAGAGTTTTATCTAACTGGTCACAGAAATATAATTCACAAAAAGCATGAAAAATATGAGAGAGACTTCATGCCCTACTGCTTGTTCCAAGATGGAGAGGACTGCACGACAAGGAAAATAATTGGCTTATAAGAATCGAGACAGCACTGGCTCACAATCAGTAATATGGGTTTATCAGCCTTATATATGTCAAGGAACTGCATTCTACCAACAGGAATGAGGTTAGAAGTAGATTTTTCCCAGAGCCTCCAGGCAAGAATGTAGCCTAGCCAATGACTTGATTTCAGCTTTGTGATACCCTGAGCAGAAAACATGATCACACTGTGCTGACCTTCTGACCAGCAGACTATGGTATAATAAATAAATATTATGTTAAGTGCTAAATTAGTGGCAATTTGTTATTCAGGAATAAAAAATTAATACAGTGCCTAATTGCTTCCACTTTACCACCAACATTTCATAAACATTTTGGTTAAGACCAGGCAGGGCATTCAGCAAAGTAGCCAGAGGATCAGTGCCTTAGTAGTAGTGCTGAGCGCTCCCTAGAACAAAGCCTATGCTAGCCATGCATGAGCAATGAGTAAATACAGACTTCAAAGGGATCAAAGAGTCTGCAAATAATTTAAATACATAAAAAGTTAAAACTGACATTCTTTAAAGATACAGCAAAATCTAGAAATACAACTATAAAACACTCACAGTCTACAGCATACAATCAAAATATACTTTAAAGGAAAGAAGCAAGAAAATGTGACCCATAACCAAAAGAAAAATAACAGCCAATAGAAAAAGGCCCAGAAGTATCAAAGATGGTGGTACTAAAAGACAAAGATGTTAAAAAATTTATTACAAATGTGTTAAAATACTTAAATAAAAACGTGAACCTATTGAGAAAAATAAATGGAAAATATAAGAAATGCCTAATGGAATTTTTTAATGTGAAATATACAATAACGAGATAGGATTTAATAGCAAATCAGATATTACAAAAAAATCAATAATCTTAAAGGCAGCAATAGAAACTATCCAAAATGAAACAGAGTAATAAAGAATGAAAAAGGAACACAGTTTTAGTGGCCCATAGGAAAATATCAAGTTGTCTATCATATATACAAATATATTCTTAGGAAGAAGAGTTGGCAGGAAAGTATGTAAAGACATAATAGTAAAAATTCTTCTAACTATGCTAAAATAATTAGTAAACCCACAGATCCAAAAGCTCAATGAGCCCTAGGCAGGGCACACACACATACACACCACAGCAAAATTAAATTTCTAAAACCAAAGATAAACAGAAATTCTTACAAGAGGCCAGAAAAAAATTACTAAATCATTATGTACAGTGAACCCTATATGAAAAATAAAAATAATCACAGACATCTTAAACAAACTATGCAAGCCAAAAGACAATGGAATAGCTTTAGAGTACTAAAAGTAAAAGCCTGGCAAAATAAAAGTCTTACAAATTGAAAAAGAATTAAAGTCAACTTTATAGGCAAACAGGAATGTGTACATTGAATACTGTATATAATAAAAAATTACTTCAAAAATAAATGTGAAGTAAAAAAAATTTTGATAAAAGCTAAATGGATGTGTCATTGACAGACAAACATCACAAGAACTGTTAAAGGAAGTTCCTTGGGTGGGAAGAAAATGATAACAGACAGAAAGTTGTATTTCCTGAAAGAAATAAAGACTGTTAAAATAATAAATATGTGAGTAAACAAAAATAGTTTTCATTATTTCTAATTCCTTTAAAAGGCCCAAAAGCATACGTTGAAGATCATGTCACTTAAGTAGAAACAAACATTGTGACAAAAGTTGCATGAAAACAGGAGGGTAAAAATGGAAGTATGGTGCTTAAGTATCATATATGAGAAGTGATACAATATTTCAAGGCATACTGTAATTAGGTAAAGATGTATGTCTTACACTCTTAAACAGTATTAACAAAAAAATTTATAGATAATAAGTTGATAATGAAAATAAAGTTGAATGTTAAAAATAACTTTAAAATAAAACACAGATTGACCTTTAAAAACAATAGTGTAAATAAAATTATATTTGAAAAATACTAAAGTCATGAAAAAATAATGTAGGGAAAGAGATAAAGTAGACAAATGCTAGTTAGAAAAAAATGAAAACAAAGAGCAAGATGGTATATTTATACCTAAACATTCAAAGTTACATTAAATGTTAATGGTTTGAAAATTCCAGTTAAAGGGCAGAGATTTTCAGACTGCATTTAAAAAGCAATCTCAACTAATGCCTCTGAAAAAAATGCATTTTAAATAGAAAGATACAAATAAGTTAAATGAAAAATAAAAATATAAAGTATGCAAATGCTAACATAAAATGTTGGAAACACTATATTAATATCAGGCAAAATATAATTTAGAACAAAAGTGTTAACAGAAATAGTGATATTTCATAATGACCAAGAGATCAATCAATCAAGATGACAATATAATCCCAGTTGTGTATGTACCAAATAAGTGAGTTCCAAAATACATAAGCAAAAAGGGACATAACTGAGGAGAAATAAACAAATTAAAATTATACTTTGAGATTTCACCACCCTCTCTTCAGTAATGGATAAAGTACAGATAAATCAGTAAGAATATAGCTGATCTGAAAAAAGTAAAAAACTATCACTCAAATTGTCTTAATTGGTATCTATAGTACATTCCACCAAAGCATAGCAGAATACAAATTCTTTGAATTACACATGGAAAATTCACCAAAATAATCCATATTCTATTTAACAACATAAATCATAATGAATTTTAAAGAACCCTAGCCGTGCAATGTATATTCTCTAACCAAAATGGAATTAATCAATAAATCAATAATAAAGTTACTTGGAGAATTGCCAAATTTTGGAAATTAACAAACATCATGTAGGGTAAATATTACCCTAAATATCATGTAGGGTAAAGAGAAATTCAGGAAAAAGTAAACTCAAACAGAAAATTTAATATAACAAAATTAAATTTTGCAGCTGAAGCTGGGATGCAACTAATGCATTCGCTATAAGAAAATGTATGTTACATACACTTACATTTAAAAATAAGAAATGCATAAAATAAGAAATCTGATCATTTGCCTTAATAAGATTCTTTACAAAGAAAATTAAACCTAACCTAAGCAAAGAAAAAAAATAGTAAATAGCAGAAATCAATGAAGATGCAAATGAGTACACAGTGGAGAAGGGTGATAAAAAGCCCTCAAAATTGAAAAATCCGTACAATTTATAAACCTGTAGCTATAATTGTCAAAATAAAAAGAGATGGCACATTTTTAATATTAAGAATTATAGACAGAAGATCACTACAGATTCTGCTCATATTGGGTGAAATAAGTATAAGCAAATTTATCCCCAATAACTGTTTGAAACTTTGAAGATTATAGACAAATTGCCTGATGGACAAATATTATTTCATTACCAATAGATATGAACACTTTCTATTTCATATAAGTGAAATACCATACAATTGCTTTTCTTTCTTTTTTTTTTTTTTTTTTGAGATGGAGTCTCACTTTGTCTCCCAGGCTGGAGTGCAGTGGTATGATATCTGCTCACTGCAATCTCCGCCTCCCAGATTCAAGCAATTATCCTGCCTCAGTCTCCCAAGTAGCAGGGATTATAGCCTGCCACCACACCTGGCTAATTTTTATATTGTTAGTAGAGACAAGGTTTCACCATGTTGGCCAGTCGGGTCTCCAACTCCTGACCTCAAGTGATCTGCCCACCTCGGCCTCCCAAAGTGCTGGGATTACAGGCATGAGCCACCATGACTGGTCCATATAATTTTATATATATTAAATAGAAGGTAATAGCTTTACACATAATTTGTAATGAATTTGTAATTAAATACTTCCTCCCACAGAAAAAACTCCATACCAAGATGGCTTCATTGGTGAATTTTGTCAAACATTTAAGGAAGAAATAATAATACACTAGTAGATCTCTTCCTGAAAATAGAGGAAGAGGAACCAGTTCCAACCTTATTTTATGCGGGCAGCATTACTCTGATAGCAAAACCAGATAAAGCTATTACAAGGAAATAATTCTATAGACCAATATCTTTTACAATCACATCCTTTCATGTTCTGTGGGCGTGACATCTACTTAGGCCAGCGCTGAAGATAAGCTGGTTTTCATAGTCCCATTTTCAAACAACCCATCTCTCTACCAACATACCAAGATACCTCAAAATACAAGTATTAGACTTAGCAGAGGAGAAAACCCATGTCTTTGTCGCATTCCTGCTGTCATGTTTCCTTCAGAAATAAATGTTCTGCTATTAAAGTTTATATTTAGAAGAGATACTCTGTTCATGGTATTCTTGCATTCTACTGTATATGAAATGAAATTAACCTGTTTGAATATGAAAAGAAACACAGAAGTTATTAGAACTCTGTAAATGTCCCACAGTTAGACTGTATCCAACCTGAAAAATATTTTCATGGGAATTTATAGAGATTTATGGAGATATTTTATGAAAAATGTTTGAATTTCAGTTGCTTCCAAATATTTGCCCTTTCTCCTTTCTGTTTCCAGAAATTACCACCTTTGCTGGGTCCATAAGCATTGAACTAATTACAAGTCAGTGACTATGGCAATATAGGTTAGACTAGAAAAGACATATAATTACTATTTGCATATAAAACATTTACTTTGTTTCCATCAATTAAAGTCATCATAATAGTTTTTTAATGATTACATTTGCTCTTATTAGAAGTGTTTGCACATTGTTATATAAGTCAAAAACTCAGGCCAGTTTTACTGATATCCCATCAGAAAATGATTTGAGGACTAAAGCACAGTGCATCCAGGTTTTTACCCCATAAAAATGAAAACAGTATGTTGTGAGGTGCTGATTACTTCCACTGTTCAATGCATTATCTAGATTATCTGTGGCTCCCAGTTGAATAATACACATATTAAAAAGATTTTGTTGGACTGGGTGGTTTACAATCTGCTGTATTTTTTATACATCTCATTCAAAAACCTTTGGTAAGTTGAGGATTAGTCATAGTAGTTTTTATTAAAGATTTTTTAAATGTACATTAATGACTGCTTATATTATCCACTTGTTCAATTTTTCAAGCTCCAACATTACAGTTTTATGTGTTGTATGCTTTCTGCAGATTTTTCTATTTTGCTCAAATGAGTGTAAAATTGTATATAGCTGAATATATCCCTATTGACATACATTTGAATGGGCTCAATAGCTTAATGTAATCCGCCTAAAGATTGTAAGAGTCTGCCTAAACATAAAAATTCAATGACAAGTATATTTTATAAACAGAAATTGATGAGAGAATATATCTATGTAGAGTCTAGACACTCTGCAGTTTGTGACTTGAAGTCAAATTATATTTTTCTTTCCTAAAATACATTTTTTTACTATAAGTGGAAATTCACTAACAATATTCTATTCATGGGTAGGAGTAATGCCACCAAAGTGTTGAAGACAGAGAGTTTCATACAAGTCTAATAAATTTGGAAAAGATAGCATTACCATTCACCATCCTGAATTCCAAGTAACTTAGTTAATTGTGAAGCAGAAATCCACATATAAGCAATGAATGTTTGTGTTAAACTTATACTAGTAAATTATTTTTATAGTGCCATTTAGGTCATTCAGTTAATTCCACATTCTCTCATTAATATCTATGCCTATAAACGTGGCTTTAAAATGATGGATAGAGTCAAAGTTTTTTTTTAAAATGATGTTTTATTACCTTTTTATAACTTGGCTTGTTTTAAATTATGTGTAGTCACTTGATAAATGCTTCCCCTGTTTTCCTGTTTTTAAGAGGTAATGTGGCATGAAGCAGTAAAAAGTACTGTACTTAGGGTCAGAAGAAAGCACCTATTCTGTCTGTCATGTGAGGTGCAAAGACAAATACTATTTCATTCTTGCATAATGTAAAATATGATAAATATGATTATACAAATATAAGGTTCCATGGGAGGAAGCACACAATGTAAAGAGTAGGATATATATGAATAAGAAGTTGCCAGATAGAGAAAGGAGAGGAATGGCATTAAAATGAGAGGAAATCAGCCACAATGTGTGCAAAGAAGTAAGAAACAAACAAACAATGACAACAACCAAAAACAAGACTAAAATCTGCAGTGTTGTGACATGACTATATTACAGCATGTGTACGTTAATGGTGGTTTTGGGGTTGTGGGGAAGAGGAGGGAGGTGCACAGTTGCAAAAAATTAAGTGGGGCCATAGCAGATAATATTGTAACTTTATGCTCCAAGCGATGATGAGCTCTTAAACAAAGATTAAGCGGAGTGAAGTAAAACTTTTTCTTTAATCTTTAATTTCCAAAATATCACTGTGCACTGCAGACTTTATCCAGGAGGAAAAAGAAACTGTTGCAGGAAGGCCAATTTTAGAAAGCTAAGAGGGTTCATAGTAGAATAGGAATGAGGAAAAATTAATAGATTTGAGAGTAACTTTATACCTTGTTACAAATAGTTTACCTTTACTTACAAGGGTAACTACTAAATTTTAATTGCCTTAACACAGAAGAAATCCAAATTCAAATTCTTCTTTTACCCTTTTATCATAGATCCAATGGCCACACTGTTATTTTTGAAAGGAATGACATTTTTCCCTCACTCCAAATTTCCCACTTTATTATCTAAAAATGGTTCCTCTCATTATTATCCTAACACTCAATCTCAACGGATGAAAGTATTTATCTTCTCACCTAGGTCAGAATTCATTTTTTCTTCTCCGTGTTCCTGTGATATATTGCTCATATGTTCCATTCTTAATTTTTTGCTACCTTTACCATATTATAGGAGCCTTAGAGGTAGGATCCCTGCCATATCTGACAATCTGTGACAAACATTCCCTTGATCATAAACACTCAATAAATGTATGGTGAAAGGAAAAATAATTGATTCTAACTCAACTACAATCTAGATAATGTTATCTTCCAGTGATAAGACATTGACAAATGATATTTTTGGTATAACACAGGATCACTATTTGATTTTTATGGATGTATGCATCTTTACTCATGTCTATGTGTAAAAGATAAACCTAGTTTAAAATCCCACCCATAAGTGTTAGTGTTGACTCTTACAGTCAAATGTATTAATATATATCCTTTCATATTTATTCTAACTGTGAACTTTTATTATAATGTCTATCTTTCAGGCCAGTTTATTCAAGTTACCATTTCTACTAATAGTAAACCATTACTCATATAGAGTTTTACTACATTTAAGCAACCACATCCTTTCAATGACTAAAATGGAACACAGGAATGGAGGTTTATACTTGATTTTACCTGATATGGTTTGGCTCTGTGTCCCCACCCAAATCTCATCTCAAATTGTTATCCCCATAATCCCCATGTGTTGAGGGATGGACCTGGTGGAAGGTGATTAGATCATGGGTGCAGTTCCCTCCATGCTGTTCTCATGATAGTGAGTTCTCACCAGATCTGATGGTTTTATAAGTGGTGATTTCCCCTCTCTTCTCTCCCCTGCCGCCTTGTGAAGAAGATGCCTGCTTCCCCTTCTGCCATGATTGTAAATTTCCTGAGGCCTCCCTGGTCATGTGGAACTGTAAGTCAATTAAACCTCTTTCCTTTATAAATTACCCAGTCTCAGGGAAGTTCTTTACACTAGTGTAAAAACAGACTAATACAATCCCATGGTTTATGAATAAGTATGTGAGTAATGAGTCCTGATGTGTTGCTGTAACTGCACCTCCTCCATAAAGACCATTTTTGTGCTATAAGGCCTGGGGTTTTTTGAAAAAGTTCAAATCTTTAGTATCTGTTCATTCATTATTTTATAAACATTACAAAAACTTATACCTCAGAAATATGGTAATATTTTCCCATACATTACAGTTGTAATAGATTGTACTTTTCAGAAACAACTGCAATAATATTTCCAGTTTCACATCATCTTCTAGCATCTTGCCACTCTGCCATTATAGGGTAGTATTGAACTCCCCTCGCTTTGACCTTGAATGGGCCTGTTGAAGCAATAATAAACTGATAGTGACACTATGTGACAGCCAAAATTAGTCATCTAAGCAACACAGTTTCTGTCTAGCTCTTGCTCTGGATAGGTGCCCTTGGAACTCAGCCATCACACTGTGAGGAAGCCCAAACCACATGGAGAGATCTGCATGGAAAGGAGGTGAGGCTTTGAGCCCTAAGTCCTGCCCAAGCTCCCACCTGAAAACTGCTACCAATTGTTAGTTAGGTGCATTTATCACATGACTTCCTCACCAATGTGTGTATAATGTGACTTTCCACCCACATTATGGAACAATGAACAAAAGAAAATGACTTGTAGTTTTGGGGCATATAGTATTGAAGTGGTTAAAAGGCAACAGTATTCTGAACAAAGTAAATGAAATTATTCGTAAGCGGTACATCTTGCATTAATAGAACATTTCCTTATAATGTGAATGTGACCTCCAGGACAGTCAAGCTTACTCTGTTTAGTTGGCTTTTGTATTATGAGTGCTTAGACAGACCTCGGCCCAAAGTATGGACTTGGTACATAAAACAGTGAATTTATAATGAGAGATGGATATGGTTTGGATTTGTGTCCCTGTCCAAATCTCATGTCAAATTGAAGGAGGGGTATGGTGGGAGATGATTGGATCGTGGGGGTAGATTTCACCCTTGCTGTTCTTGTGATAGTGAGTTCTCATGAGATCTGATGGTTTAAAAGTGTGTGATACTTCCCCCTTTGTGCTCTCTCTCTCTCTCTCACTTTCTCTCTTTCTCTCTCTCTCTCCTGCTCTGCCATGGTAAGATGTGCTTGCTTCCCCTTCGCCTTCCATTATGCTTGTAAGTTTTCTTTTTTCTTTTCTTTTTTTTTTTTTTTTTGAGACAGACTTTCACCCTTGTTGCCCAGGCTGGAGTGCAATGGCATGATATCGGCTCACCGCAACCTCCACTTCCCAGGTTCAAGTGATTCTCCTGCCTCAGCCTCCCAAGTAGCTGGGATTACAGGCATGTGCCACCACACCAGGCTAATTTTTGTATTTTTAGCAGAGATGTGGTTTCTCCATGTTGGTCAGGCTGGTCTCAAACTCCTGACATCAGGTGATCCACTTGCCTTGACCTCCCAAAGTGCTGGGATTACAGGAGTGAGCCACTGCGCCTGGCCACTTGTAAGTTTTCTGACACCTCCCAGCCATGCTTACTGTTAAGCCTGTGGAACTGTGAGTCAATCAAACCTCTTTTCTTCATAAATTACCCAGTCTTAGGTAGTTCTTTATAGCAGTGTGAGAACAGACTAAATTCAAAAATTGGTACCAGAAGTGGGGTACTGCTATAAAGATAACTGAAAATGTGGAAGTTACTTTGGAACTGCATAATGGGCAGAGGTTGGAACACTTTGGAGGGCTCAGAAGAAGACAGGAAGTTGTGGGAAAGTTTGAAACTTACTAGAAACTTGTTGAATGGTTGTGACAAAAATGCTGATAGTAATATGGACAATGAAATTCAGGCTGAGGCCTTCTCATATGGAGATGAGGAACACATTGGGAACTGGAGCAAAGGTCTTTCTTGCTATGCTTTAGCAAAGAGACTGGCAGCATTGTTCCCCTGCTTTGGGGATCTGTGGAATGTTAAACTTGAGAGAGATGATGTAGGGTATCTGGCAAAAAAAATTTCCAAGCAGCAAAGCATTCAAGATGAGACCTGGCTGCTTCTAAAAGCCTATGCTCCTTTGCATAAACAAAGGAATAACCTAAAACTAGAACTTACATTTAAAAGGGAGGCAGACAAAAGTTTGGAAAATTTGCAGCCAGACCATGTGGGAGAAAAAGAAATTTTTTCCTGGGGAGATATTCAAGCAGCCAGCTGCAGAAATTTGCATAAGTAAAGAGGAGCTGAATGCTAATGACAAAGACAATGGGGAAAATGTCTCTAGGGCATTTCAGAGATCTTCACAGCAGCTCCACCCATCACAGGTCTGAAGGCTTAGGAGAAAAAAAATGTTTCTTGGGCCAGACCCAGGGACCTGCTATTCTTTGCAGCCTTGAGACATGGTGCCCTGCATCCCAGTCACCCCAGCTCCAGCCATAGCTAAAAGGGCCAAGGTATAGCTCAGGTCATGGCTTCAGAGGGTGCAAGCCCCAAGTCTTGGCCACTTCCACATGGTGATGGGCCTGCAGGTACACAGAAGGCAAGAATCAACGTTTGGTAACCTCCTCCTAGATTTCAGAGGATGTATAGAAATGCCTGGATGTCCAGGTAAAAGTCTGCTGTAGGGGTTGAGCCCTCATGGAAAACCTCTACTAGGGCAGTGCAGAGGGCAAATGTGGGGTTGGAGCCCCACACAGATTCCCTACTGGGGCACTGCCTAGTGGAGCTGTGAGAAGAGGACCATTGTCTTCCAGACCCCAGAATGGCAGATTTACCAACAGCTTGCATCGTGTACCTGAAGAAGCTGCAGATCCTCAATGCCATCCCTTGAAAGTAGCTATGGGAGGGAGTGTACCCTGCAGAGTCACAGGGGAAGAGCTGCCGTAGGCCTTGGTAGCCCACCCCTTGCATCATCATGCCCTGGATGTGAGACATGGAGTCAAAAGAGATCATTTTGGAACTTTAAGATTTAATGACTGCCCAGCTGGGATTCAGACTTGCATGGGGTCTGTTAGCCCCTTCATTTTGGCCAGTTTCTTCCATTTAAAATGGCATTTATCCAATGCCTGTAAACCCAGTGTATCTTGGAAATAATTATAATAACTTGTTTTTGACCTTACAGGCTCATAGGTGAAAGGGACTTACCTTGCACCAAAGTCTTAGCTGAGACTTTGGAGTGTAGACTATTGAGTTAATGCTGAAATGAGTTAATACTGGGGGACGGTTGAGAAAGGACAATTGTATTTGGTAATGGGAGAGGGACATGAGATTTGGGAAGAGCCGGGGTGCAATGATATGATTTGGATTTGTGTCCCTGCTCAAATCTCATGTGTCAAATATGAAGAGGGGCCTGGTAGGAGGTGACTGAATCATAAAAGTGGATGCCCCCCTTGCTGTTCTCTTAATAGTGTGTTCTCATGAGATCTGATGGTTTAAATGTGTGTGGCACTTCCCCCTTCACTCTCTCTCTCCTGCTCTGCTATGGTAAGTTGTGCTTGCTTCCAATTGGCTTCTGTCATGATTGTTAAGTTTCCTGAGCACCCCCCACCCAGGCATACTTCCTGTTAAGCCTGCAGAACTGTGAGGCAATTAAACCTCTTTTCTTCATAAATATTGAGTCTCAGGTAGTTCTTTCTAGCAATGTTAGAATGAACTAATACAGAGATATAGAAATCAAGGCTAAAAAAGAATAATAAAGGCTTTTGAAAAATATACACAATCAAAATTTCTGCAAAGTGAAAATTGTCAGAACATTATCTAAATTTATGAAAATGTTAATATACATAAAAGTTCAAAAACGTGTATTTAAAACGGTAAGAATCTTAAAATCTAATATACATTACTTTCACATTCGTGTATAATTTCAAATATATGTTATCTTATGTTAACCTTCAACATCATTGTTAAGTGTGTATGTTTTTTATTTAGTTGTCTGTATTTGCTTATTTAATATTTTACTAGTACCTGAAATAGAGGAATTGATTTAACATCCCCAAAATGAATTTTCATCTTTTTAAAATAACATATAATATTTGCAATTTTGATTCAAAAAGTACTAAGTTACTTTCTCTAAAGCAATTACCCTCGTGATTTCTTTATTCATAATATTGGTTGCAAGGTAGGTTGTGTCTTTCTTAATGTTTTCTCCTAAATGAAAAGGTCCCTGCAGACATTATAAATCCTAAGATTCAGATTCAGTCATGTATTTTTCCATTTTACTGACCTGCAATGAAGCACATCTTTTCCAAGCAACACATAAGGCATCTGGGGAAAATTCCATCACTATAAAAAATGTTTATTATTTAATCTGCATTGTGATGCATAGCTCATTCAAAGTATGACTGAGAAGAAGACACATTAACTCAACAGTCAGGGCAAATAAAAATCAGCGTGAGAAAAATTATTGAGTGAAAAGTCACTGAGTCCCATATTATTAGCCATTTTGTATTTCTATAATATAAATTTATCTGTGATAAATCTTGGAAACTTCCCACACAGAGATTCATATATGTCCTAAAAATTAATAAAACTATTAATTAGTAACATTTATAATCACTGGGCTCAATAAATTCAGATAAAATAATGTGGATTGCATTTAAAAAAATTATTAAGACATGTAAAACATCATCCCATTTAGGAAAATGAGATCTTGGACAAAAAGAAATATTTATGAAATGATATTCTTTTAAGTTAATATTTTTTATTTTATTTTATTCAAATCATTAGCTATAAGTGCCTTAAAATTTGTCACGTGATAACATTTATGGTTTAAACATTAGAAGCACTCTATGGTTGATGTTAAATCGTGGTTATTAATATACCACTTTGAAATTATCTCCTACGGGAAATTCCTGACATAAAAAAATTAACCCACCACCTATGAATTTACCTCTTCTCATATTATCAAAATTTATAAATAGGATAAAAATGTGTCATAGTCTATTGCAACTGTTAAGTTGGAAAGCACTTTGATATGATTCAGCATCTAAAAATGTAGAATACCAGATAGCTCCATGGTAAATGCATTTCCAGTGTATTACTTACAATAATAGCACCAATAAGTTTGTTCAAATGTATGACTAATGATAAAAGCCTATTTTTTTATTTTACCAAACATCCATTGATAATATCTCAACATTACTTATTCCTCAGCCAGAATACTTCCTAAAGTGTTAAGAAGCAATATTTCTTAAGGACCTGTGAGTATTGCCTTCTGCTTATATTTTATGACACTGCCTTCCTTTAACATAATGCTTCAGAAATGACAAATTATGTGTGGATCCTACCATGCTCCTCAACATCGAGTTGATTCTTACTTCCATGCTTTATCCTATACTGTCTTCTGTCATTTCCAGGCAGCTTTCTCTCCTGAATTTCATCTTAACTTGATAAAACTGGACTTAGTTTTAAAAACTCAGTTGAGGAATGTGTTGGCTGTCCCCAAGACCACCCCCACATTCATAGATTCCCTAGAAAGACTCACAGGATTCAGCATTTGGGTGTACTCACCACAAAGATTTATTACAGCAATGTAGTAAGGATACACAGTTGGATCACACTGGGAAAAGGTGCAGTGTTGGGAGGAATCCATGTGATTTTCTTATGCTTTCTTCTTCCCATGAGGTGTCACACACAGTATCCTCTTCCAGTAACAAAATGCAGCAATATGTGTGATGTGTGCTAAGTTTCTGCCCAGTGAAGCTCATTAGAAACCTAGCTGGAGGCTAGTCATGCAGGTACCCTCTGCTTAGAATGTACTAACATTCCTGCCTCTCAAAAGAAATGTAGATGTTCAGTATAAGCCATATTGTTTGCACAGACAAAGCACAGTGAACCACCTTTATCAGTTAGCTATTGACTGGGAATCAAGTTTCCAGATGTCAACCAACGGCCAACCTTTTAAATAGTCTAATTTATTTTATTTTATATTTTAATTTAATTTTATTTTATTTTATTTTATTTTTTGGGGAGGAGACAGAGTCTTGGTCTGTCACCCAGGCTGGAATGCAGTGGCACTATCTCAGCTCACTGCAACCTCTGCCTCCAGTTTCAAGGGATTCTCGTACCTCAGCCTCTTAAGTAGCTAGGATTACAGGTATGTGCCACCACGCCCAGCTAATTTTTGTACTGTTAGTAGAGACGGGGGTTTTGCCATGTTGCCCGGGCTGGTCTCGAACTCCTGGCCTCAAGTGATCCGCCCACCTTGGTCCTCCAAAGTGCTGAGATTACAATCGTGAGCCACTGAGCCCGGCCTCAAGTTACCTTTCTAAAGATAGCAGGCTGAGGCCTGCTATATTAGTTTTTGTTTTTTGTTTTTGCTTTTTTTGCACAGGAAGTAATCCTCTAAAGAATCTGTTTCTGATTCCTGGAAAGTTAGCTGCTGGTGTTCAGTGCTCCCAGACTTAAATATTTCATAGGATTTTCTGCTTTGGAGTGCAATAGCCAATATATTTAGCCTTCTCTCCCATATTACTCCTGAATATCTTTTACACAGAACTTGGAAAATATAACTCACTTGGGAAAAGTCTCTTGAAAGGATCATAAAGTCCTATTTCTACTTGATTTAGTATTTATATCTTATCCCCTTTTCCATCCTATTCTCTTCCTAAATAATTCACTCTGAATATCATTAAGTAATTTATCTTCTTTGCCATTGTTAGTACCATATGCAAATATGTGTCAAGGTGTCAAGTAGAAAGGAGGTAGGTTGAGCTGTGGTGGCCTGACGCAGGGTGTTAGAGCTGAGTCTGGTAAGCAGAAAATCCAGAGTAGGAGCAGACCAGCACATGCTGGAATCCAAGTAGGATGAGGACGAGGAAGGCATCACTATTGGTAGGCACCCCAGCATGTTGTGTCAGAGCCCAGTAAGGTGGGAGGGCATTCAAACAGAGGGAGAACCAAGGCACAATTGTGGATATTGGGGCAGGGAGAGGAGGGTGTCTACACAGGGATGAAACAGTGGTAGCAGTGGCTGGCAGAGTACTGGAGGATAAATGAAGAGTGGCAGTAGTAGGTGTATATTTAGAAAGTTAATATAGATGTAGATATATATTTACAGGTATATATCTGACTTATATATGTATGATTTAACAGACTATATATAGCATATTTGTTTCTATTCTCCATGGTCCTAATATACAACAACAGAAATTTTTAAATATTGTTATATTCTTTAAATAAATATTCCACTGGTTATTTTGATGAGAATGTATTTCTCAGTTAGGGAGAGAGAGGTTATAAATGTATTATTGCTGTTGATATCAAACATAGGTTTAAAGCACTACCCCACCCCCACCCTGCCAAGATAAGCTTACTGCATCTAAGAGAACTGGAAGTGAAATTGAGGATGTAGAACAAGATACTAATTTCCAAAGGTTTAATATCAAAGAGCAAATTTCTAGAAGACCTAGGACTGTAAGCTCAAGTCTTTCATTAAACTCCTCTATCTCCTGCATTTAGAGCCTACTACAACAGCTATCTTAACACACCAGTATGAAAGATAGCCATCTTTTTCCCTAAATACATTTTCCTTCTACTTCCTGTTTGTTATAATTATTCTTCCAGTCACTGGGCTCAACATCTGTCCCTTATCTTTTTCATCTTAGCCTTCCATACCCAACATTCAGATCATCATGCATAGCAACATTTTTTCTCACAAGTCATCTTATGCACATTTCATTGACTTTTCTTATTGCATCCTTCAGTTGGAGAAGTCTCTTTTTTTCTCTTAGTTTCTTCTTCTTTAGATTTCTCCTGCACATAGATGTAATAAAATGAATAATTTTTTTTTAAATTTTCTCTATAAATTGGTTAGAGAAATAAACAAAGAGGAAGTATGATCAGTGTTGGAATCTTTTAATTCCTTTCTCCTCTAACTATGCCATTTCTTTTACCATGCAAGCAATACTTGCTTTTTCTACAGTATTTTCACCTCACATCATACAGTGTCCATGTCTTTTTTCGGTTTTTTTTTTTTGTTTTTTTTTTTTTTTTTTGAGATAGAGTCTCACTCTGTCGCCAGGCTGGAATGCAGGGGTGCAATCCCAGCTCACTACAACCTCCGCCTCCCAGGTTCAAGGGATTCTCCTGCCTCAGCCTTCCAAGTAGCTGAGATTACAGGTATATGCCGCCACGCCCGGCTAATTTTTGTATTTTTAGTAGAGACGGGGGTTTCCCTATGTCGGCCAGGATGGTTTCGATCTCTTGACTTTGTGACCCGCCTGCCTTGGCCACCCAAAGTGCTGGGATTACAGGCCTGAGCCACCACGCCCCGCCATCTTTTTTCATATTTTACATGTTTTAAATATGTTTATTGTAAAATATTTTTAAAATGTTTAAAATATTTGTTATTTTTTCTATCCCCTTTTGACTATACAGTCCTTCGCTAGGATAAAAAAGCTACACTTTCCAAATGTCTTTATTCAGAGAAAAACTTATATTTCAAAAAAGTGTTATTGAAAACGAGACACACATAGACAAAGAACATCAGAGGCAATTACTTAATAAGCATTCCAGGTTTGTTGCTCTCCATAGATCCTTTCTGCACGGAACTCTATTTAAAATCAGTTGGAGTTCTGCCCCCACAAAGGTTTCACACAAGGGAAAAAGAATAAGAATTTAAACATAAATAAGTAGAACAAACTTTAATAAGCTCTTTCAATGAGTATTTACCTGAGGGACTGGAACAGCTGCAATGTAAAACCTGCTTAATAACCCTCTATTAAATAATTTTCTTGGTTTAAATTAAAATCTAAATGCAGGCTAAGTCATAAACAAAAAAATTACATATTATCATTTTCTAAAAGTGGGGTAATTAAGGGATCTTCTTTTAATACTTAAATACTTAAATAATTTTAAATACTTAGATAATTTTAAGTATTCTATTGTTTTGCTTTTCTTTAAACTCTACTACTTTGAGTGATTTATTAAAGCCGACCACATAATGTTGTATAAAAATAATGAATTAAATATACTTTGTGTATCAAAGTGGCTTGCTAGAGCATAACAAGTGGTTTTAAAGAAAGTAAACAAGCAAATTAATCGCCAGTTTTCTCGCAGAATGTGGCTTCTTAAATGATGAAAACCTTGTAAGACTTCTTTCAGGTTTTCAATGGCTATAAACGATTTGGAAGTAATTTATCTTCTTAGCCATTGTTAGTACCATATGCAAGAATTTGCTCTTCTCCAGTTTTAGAAAAATAAGACTTTTGTTTCTTCAGAACCCTTGCTGCTTCATTCTCATTTGTAGTCACAATTCTCAGTTTATGGCACTGGAATTTTTTCATAGCAATTAATCCTAAAGTTATAAATATGATAATGAGTCCAAGAAGCAAATTTATATGTTCCTACTTATCTTTCCTCTTCTCCCATTTCTGACAAATAAACAGTTTCTTGGAGAATGAAACACTTAGGGAACAGATTCTGAAATGAAACTCACAAGCAAGATTACTTTTGTATTAAAAGAGATTTCCATGTTCTCTCTCTCATTTGTTTTCCCCCAGATGTCAAGCTCCATCAGGGCAGGTTGATCTTGAAAACTTGGGTCATTCTACTATTCAACTTGGTGCCTTGCACATTGTGAGTGATCAATAATAATCATTTAGAAACCGATTTTTTCCTTCTAATTTGCCCCCTGCATTCTTAAGTCATAGGCATAACAAGTGCATCAGCATTCATGATACCAAGAATATTTTAATAACAAAATTATTATTTTTACCAGATTTATTAAAGTACGGTTGATGTACAAAATAAATTTTTACCAGATTTATTAAAGTATGGTTGATGTAATATGTACAATTTGATGAGTCTGGCTCATTACCACAATCAAGGTAATAGACATATCCAACACCTTCCAAAGTTTCACTGTGCCCTCTGTTTTGGGTGGTAAGAACAGTTAATATGAGGTCTACCTTCTCAACACAAATATTCTTTATATTAAAAGAACCACTGAGTTCTTTCATAACAATAGTCATCTCATGAGGCAGAATTGAGACTGTAACATGATGGTTAGATTTTGTATACCTATTTTCAAATTTGCTAGTCTTAACAGAGTTCCAATCACATAGATTGTGACAGATTCTCAGAATAGCATTGTGGGAACTTTGAGAATTTAGTCCATTTCATTACATAAAATATATTTAAGACTTTCTGTATATGAAGAATAAAGTCCCTGTAAATGGGTTATTTTTAATAGGAACTCTTCAAGGTCTAAAACTTGAAAAAGGGAAGATCTTTTGAAGAGGACTTTGCAAAAGACTTTGACGGTATTAATACATGGGATAAAAGAAGTTGAGCTCAGGTTGCCAACTTGTCTTTTTAATAATAGTCTAAAGAAAGACACAGGGTCACTGCCCTTTCCTTGAAGACCATATCCTAGGGATACTGTGAAGTTTTTGAAAACTCAAATATGTTTTAAGTATTTAACTAGCCTTAGCTATGCTGTGACTTTTATATGTACCCCTTATCTTGCTAGTATATCAGATTTTGTTTCCCCAGGGAACAAAGGTTAAAAACAAACAAACAAACAGACAGCTGTGTATATTTTCCAATGAATAAAGAGTACAAAAAAATTACCATAGGATAAAGCTCCTCTGCCAAACTCAAAATAATATGGAACCCAGAAAGTAAATTAAAAATATACTATATATTTTTTCTACATAGTCATAGTTTTTATGAAATGTTTACAATTCATGAGCAAATATTTTGGTATTTTTCCTTGGTAGTTTTTTCTTTGGTAGTTCACAATATAAACAAATATAGTGTTTTATGAAAAAATTAATACATAAAAATTTGAAGCTGCTAGACTTCAGTCAAAAGTTAATGTACATAACTCAATGACTGGCTAAAGGTTTTGCTCATTTTACATGTTGATTGAATTTCTTTTTTAATTCAGAACTACTATCTTTTAAAATTAAGATGATAGAATGTTAAAAATAATCTAATAGAGACTCAAAAAAAGAGTTATCTGGAAAGAGATTCTAAGGATGTAGTCAGATATACTAAATTTATCTTATTTAAAATAGATTATCTAGAAATTTAAATCCATCCTTCTGGGAAGTTGGTATAACTGGTTAAAATATGGGATGAGTAGATGTGGTGCTCTCCTTCCCTATGAGCACAGGCTTATTTCCTGCCCTGTCAAAGACCTCAGAGAGATACCTGGGGGACAAGTAAGAGAGTTTACACCTATCTGTGCAAATTTATCACCAGTATTGGGAAAAACAAATTGGCATGCAGACTTTACTACTGCAGACGTCTGTTGATGTATTTATGGAGCTAAAATAATATATACTTTAGGGTCAGAAGTCCTGGCAGTGAGTCAGCTTCAGCCACTTAGTTGTATAATATAATCCTGGAAAACGATTTAACCTCCTTGAGCTTTTGTTTCCCTTTGGGAAAAATAATCATTGGAATAATCCACATCTCACAAAGCCTTTTTGAGAATTAACTAGAGTAAATACATTGAGAAAGTACTTTTTACAGAGTCGTACAAATGAGGCTCACTGCTAAGGTAAATTTTTTTATCCACTGAACATCTTGGTAGTAAATTAGGTTGATTCTTTATGAACATTTTTTTAGAGAGTTAGATTAATAATCTCTAATGGAAAAAAAGGTATATATTAATTATCTAATTAGAGTATTTCTTCACTCATTCAACAAACCTTCACTGTATTTCTACCATGTGCCAAGCATGATAACAAATACTTAGGATCTAGAGTTAAAAGGCCATTGCCTTCTCTCAAGGAAGTTACAGTGCAGTGGCTAAGAAACAGAATGACACAGAGCTGTTACAGACTCTGACAAAGCAGATAAGTTGGACATCATTTTGAAGAGGTTAGTCCATGGTTCCTGGAGGATGTGAATCTTGAGCTGAGTAGCTGATAACTGGGGGAAAGGATGCATGTACCAAGACCCAGGATCAAGGTAAAACACATTAAATTCTGCAAACTAAAAACAGCTGAGCCAGACTGTGAAGTAGGTTAATGTTAAAATATCATGGGATGAGGTTTACAGAGTAGAGGAAGTAGAGATCCTGAACAGTCTATATTCTCTTGTAAGGATTAATTTAGGAAAAAAAGGAAGGCTATTGAAAGGGGTGAGATATGATTATGAGTTCATTAAAACATAACACTCTAAATAAACGGTATACACATTGCAAAGAAAGAAAACTGACCCTATTTGCAGGTTGACATGATTGTGTACATAGAAAACTCATGCATTAATAAGGAAGTACAACAAAATTGCAGGATACAAGATCAATACACAAAAACAAATTGCATTTCTATATGCTAACAATGAACATATGGAAATTGAAATTTTAAAAAACACAATACTATTTATAATTGCTCCAAAGGTAATAAAATATTTAGGCATAAGCCTAATAAAAACATATATAGCATCTTGAAAGTTACAAAATGCTGATAATTAAAAAAAAAAAAACAAATAAATGAAGAAACATACCATGTTCCCAGATTAAAAGACTCAAAAGAAAGATTATCAAGGTCAATTTCCAAATTTTAATATAGTATCTACTAAAACTCCAGGAAAGTTTTTTTGTTTATACAAAAATTAACTCAAAATAGATCATAAACTTAATTTTAAAATGTAAAACTATAAAATATTTAGAAAAAAGCAGAGAAAATCTTCGAGTCTTGGGACTAGGAAGAGTTCTTAGACTTCACACCAATAGCATGATTCACAAAATAAAAAATTTCTAAATTGGAGCATATCAAGATGAAAAAAAATTTTGTTTTGCAAAAGTCCCTGTAAAAAGGATGAAAAGACAGGTTACAGACTAGGAGAAAGTATTTGCAAACAACGTATGCGACACAGGACAATTATGTAGAATATATAAGGAGCTCTCAAAAGTCAACAGTGTAAAACAAAACAATCAAAATAAAATGCGCCAAAGGGTAACACATTTTACTGAAGAGTATATGCAGATGGCAAATACGAGCATAAAAATATGTTCAACAAAATTAGCCATTAGAGGAATGCAAATTAAAACCACAATGAAATATCACTATTGTCAAAGAAAAACCTGTCAAAGCTGGAAGGACACTAGTTAAAGTGGAGATCAATTTGTACAGAGGTCACCAGGCATTTTAAAGGAAGAATGAAGGAATGCAGGGCTGGCGAGCAGAGACTCAGTAAAGTCAGGGAAGTGGAAAAATTACAAAAATTGGAAAGGGGGGTTGCTCCATGTTAAACCCATCTGAGTTTGTTACTGGTGCTTACAGAAAGCAGGCTTCTACCCTCCCACAGAGGCTGAACCATAAAACAGGCCCTCAGCAAGCACTGAATTTACTGGCTCCTTTACCTTGGATTCTCCACCCTGCAGAACCGTAAGAAATAAATTTCTGCTGTTTATAAGACACCGAGTTTATGGTATTTTTTATAGTAGTTTGACTGGACTAACAGAGTATCAATGTCAATTTCCAGTATGTGATTCTATACTATAATATGCAAGATGTTACCTTTGGGGAAAACTAGGTGATATACATAAGGAATCTCTATTATTTCTCACAACTGCATGTGAATTTATAATTATCTCAAAATAGGTTTTTTGTTTGTTTTAATTCACTCTAGGTGCAGTGTAAGGATAGATAGATGGTAATGAGGGTGGAATATATAAGACCTATTGGGTCATTGGCTATGTCTGGGTGTTTGCTGGGGGGCAAGTAGTAAAGAACAGGATGACCACCAGGTTTCTTTGTGGGACTTCACTGATCAAAAGAGAAAAGAGGGAGTAGATGATTGGAAGAGAGAGATGATGCATTCAAGGTTGATCCTGCTGAGTTTGTTTTCCTTGTAATCAACCAAACAGAGTATATAAAATGAGAAGAGTAAAGAATAAGAATCCCTAAGCAAGGGAGATATATACCGTGCTCTTCGAGAATTTGTATGCCTACTTTTCACATAGCATTTCAATGCATGAATGAAGACTAAAATATCACTATCATCTGAATATCAGAACAAGGGGATTTTTGAATTCGGAGGGAAGAGTAAATACAGACAGACATATAGCAAATAACGACATTTCAGTCAATGATGGATCACATATACACAGTGGTTCCATAAGATTATAATGGACTATTGTGAATGGAATTGCATTCTTGATTTGACTCTCAGCTTGGATGTTAGTGATGTGTAGAAATGCTACTAACTTTTGTACATTGATTTTGTATCCTGAAACTTTGCTGAAGTTGTTCACAGAGACAGGAGCATTTGGGCAGACTATGGGGTTTTCTAGGTATGAAATCATATAGTTTTCAAAGAGAAGTAGTTTAATTTCCTCTCTTTCTATTTAGATCCCTTTTATTTCTTTCTCTTGCTTGATTGCCATGATCACTGTGGAAAGCAGTCTGGAGATTCTCAAAGAATTTCAAATAGAACTACCATTCAACCCAGCAATCTCATTACTGGATACATATCCAAAGGAATAGAAATTGTTCTGCCCTAGAGACACTCGCACATGTACGTTCATCACAGCACTATTCATAATATCAAAGACATGACACCAACCTAGATGCCCATCAACAGTGGACTAGATAAAGTAAATGTAGCACATACATAGTATGGAATATTGTGCAGCCAATAAAAAAAACAAATCATGTCCTTTGCAGCCACATGGATGGAGCTGGAGACCACTATCCTAAGTGAATTAACATAGAAACAGAAAAACAAATATCACATGTTCTCCCTGCTAAGTGGGAGCTAAACATTGAGCACATATGAACACGAAGAAGGAAACAGTGGACACCGGGGCTTACTTGAGGGTGGAGGGTAGAAGGAGGGGACTATTGAGTATTATGCTGATTACCTGCATGACAAAATTATCTGCACACCAAACCCCTAAAGCACGCAATTTACCCATGTAACAAAACTGCACATGGACCCCTTGAACCTAAAATAAAAGTTGGAAAGGAAAAAAACAAAAAGATTATAAGGGAGTTGAAAAATTCCTACTGCCTAGGGATGCGCAGCCATTGTAATGTCCTTGCCTAATGCGTTACTCAGGTGTCTGTGAGGATGCTGCTGTGCTGCCAGTCTTGCACAAGTACAGCACATACAATTATGTACAATATATAATACTTGATCATGATAATAAACGATGTTACTGGTTTATATATTTAGTATACTATACTTTTAATCATTATTTTTTAGTGTACTCCTTCTACTTATAAAAGAAAGCTAACTGTAAAACAGCCTGAAGCAGGCTCTTTCAAGAGGTATTCCAGAAGAAGGCATTGGTATGCCTTGGTATTCCATGCATGTTACTGTCCCTGAAGACAGAATGAAGAACGTTCAGTAGGAAAAGATGTGGATATGGAAAACAGTAATACTGATAATCCTGCCCCTGTGTAGGTCTGTGCCAGTGTAATTGTGTCCTAGCTTTTAACAAAACATTCAAAAAGTTTTTAAAAAGTGCAAAAATACCCAGCACTTTGGGAGGCCGAGGAGGGTGGATCACAAGGTCTAGATCAAGACCATCCTTGCTAGCACGATGAAACCCCGTCTCTACTAAAAATACAAAAAATTAGCCAGGCGTGGTGGCAGGTGCTTGTAGTCCCAGCTACTCGGGAGGCTGTGGCAGGAGAAGGGCGTGAAACCGGGAGGCAGAGCTTGCAGTGAGCTGAGATCGCACCACTGCAGTCCAGCCTGGGCGACACTCTGTCTCAAAACAAAACAAAACAAAAAAAGTACAAAAATAGAAGAAAACTTACAGAATAAGGATATAAAGAAAATATTTTTTTGTACAGCTGTATAATGTGTTGTGTTTCAAGCTAAGTGTTATTACAAAAGAGTCAAAAAGTTAAAAATTGAAGTTTTTAAAGTAAAAAAAGATAGTAAGCTAAGGTTAATTTATTATTGAAGGAAAAATAAGATTTTAAAAATAAATTTAGCATAGCCTAAATATACAGTGTTTATAAAGTCTACAGAAGTGTACAGTAATGTGCTATGCCTTCACATTCATTCACCACTTACTCACTGATCACCCAGAGAAACTTCCAGTTCTGTAAGCTCCATTCATAGGAAGTGCCAAATAAAGGTGTACCGTTCTTAAAAATATTTTATACTGTATTTTTACTGCAACTTTTCTGTGTATATATATGTTTAGAGGTTCAAATACTTGCCACTGTGTTACAAATTGCTTACAGTGTTCAGTACAGTAACATGATGGCAGGTTTGTAGTCTAGGAGCAATAGGCTGTACCATATAGCATAGGTGTGTAGTAGGCTATACCACCTAAGTTTGTGTAAGTACGCTCTATGATATTCAGACAGTGATGAAATCTCCTAAAGACACATTTCTCAGAATGTATCCCTGTCATTAAGCAATACATAACTATGGAAAGTATCTAAGGGAATTCCAAATACGGGCTGGATAAAATGAATTGCATTAGCATTATGCATTACAATAAAAAAGAACCAATATTGAGTACACTTCATGTGCTAAGTATTTCACTGGTGTTCAGAAGTATGATCCTGTTTCATCTTCACGACAGGCCTGAAAAGTTAAATTTCATTATCTATAATTTCTAATCATAGAAGTAATTTGCCAAATGAAACAAAGCCAGTAAGTAATTTCTTAAGCAAGATTTTGAATTTAGATGTGTTTAAGTTCTCAGCCCACATTCTTTCCACTATATCAAGAAGCTTGTTGAAGATGCAGGAGGGCAGATCCCAGTACCTTCTTAAAAACTGTACATATTATGTTCTTGCTTCTTTGGGGCTTTTGTGAGTTAAGCTCCTACTTTTACATTTGTAAGCATTCAGTTTCCCACACAGTTTTAAAGGCTCTATTTAGGTTCCTCGCCCCATCTTTACAGGAAAGCATGCCATTATTGGCATTGATTAAATATTCATGGCGCTCCACCCTCTGGATTCCATGCCCAGCACCTGTCATAGTGCCACCTTACTGTTTGGACTAACGAGGGGTTGGTTTTCTTATATTAATTGGTAGTAAGCCCCTCATTTCCATTTTCCAGGTAACATGCTTGTGTGTTTGTTTTCAGGTATGCAGGCTATATAGATTGGTTAACAAGCATCTTTCACTTAAACAAATAGATAAAGAGCAGGTGTCTTCAGTTCCTTGTCCTCAAACTTAAATGGTGCATTAGCTCTGACTTCATTACTACTGACACAGGATTCCTTAAATCTCTATTCTGTAAACAAATAAACAAACAAAAAATACCCTTTTATCTCTACAGAAAATCCTGTACATGATAAGGATATTTTAAATTCTCTGGTTATTTTCTATACTCATTTTTTAGTTTATATATTTTCTTTGACGTATCCCATTTCAAATTTTCAAGGTTGACACATCATGCCTGTAATCTCTAGGGCTTAAAAGTCAATTTCCGTAAAGTACAACACACAGTCCACTTATTTTACAAACCAAGGGCAGTCAAACCAAGCCATGAAAAGTAATTTTTAGGTAGAAATTAGGCTACTATTCTTCATCAATACAGATGAAGCCTCATTATTGCCAAAGATCTTAATTACTATGATGATGATGATTCAGTAATCTAGATTTAATTTTCAAAGGAATTTCAAAAGGAAACTCTCCACATCTCATCCCACAACTATCCAAATGCAGACTCAAGCCTAAGTAGTATATGTCACATAAACACAAAAAAGGTGGGTGGCAGCGAAGGGGTTTGGGGATGTTTATGTGATCTGACTCTCTGTTGGACCAGTTAATTTTGATCCTTCACCTTCCTAAAGCATCCAAACCTTAGGTGCAGATTTAACTTCTCGCCATCCACGCCATCTAGTGGCTTGTATGTGTTACGTTTGGTTTTAAGGATGATTCCTAATGACTCGGGGGCGGGGTACGCGAAAAACAAAAAGGTTGGTAGCGACAATTTTCCTGTGTCTCTCTACCTCAGTAACCCCTCATACGAACACCTTTAACTCTTTTAACTATTTTAAATATGCGCAGTGATGCGCAGAGAGGATGAAGGGGACGCAAACTTTCAGAGACGCACGCCCCTTGACGATGACATTTAGAAAAGGGCTCCACATCCCTGTTATTCGTAAAGGACGGGAAAAGGAGTTGTGTCAAGACCTCGATCGAGGAGAGTCTCTGATTTTTTGGCAAGTTGGACAGATGGCATATCAATCCCTGCAACGTTAACAATCTGGTTTTGAAAATAAATAAAAACAGAAAGAGGAAATGCACTTAAAAATTCCGCGTCGGAGCTTTGCGGGTCTTGCCTTCCAGTCGCCCCCAGAAGACAACCAATTCCTGCGCATTCCGCTCCGCTCACCCTCCTTCCCAGCTTCTCTCGCTCTCTTTCCCCCCATTTTCCCACGCTCGCCTTGAACCGGGACTCGAGAGGCAGAAGCAAGGCACGGGTCCCCTTTCTCCTCTCCTCCACCAAACCACCGCAGCCCAGCACGTGAAGCTTCCCTTTGTTCATCCGAGGCTCGCTTTTCTCCCCAGCAGATCCACCTGGATGCTCTCCCTCGGTGACATTTTGCGCCGGGGTTGGTGGGTGGCTGGGGTGGAGCGAGAGGAGCCCGAGGGGGCGGGGGCGGAGAAAGGTCAAGCCGAGGGAAAGGCAGGAGACGCCTTTCCTAACCTGCGTGGCGGGGCGTGCGCGCGGTTATTTATTTATTTTCTCCTTATTTATTGATCGCACTAGCAGAGCAGCGCGGGGAGCCCGGGGAGATGCAGGACCACCCACTGGCGGGGAAGCAGCTAGCAGCCCTCCCGCGCCCCCGCGCTGCCGAGCGCCTTCTGCCTCCGCGCTCGGACGAGAGCCCGTGCCGGCCCCGGCCCCGGCCCCACCGCGCCAACGCCGCCCGCCCGGCCGCCCCGCAGCCCCGCCGCCCCGCAGCCCCGCACCGCGCTGGCCAGGCTCCCGCGACAGTGGCCCCGCAGTAAGTTGGCAGGAGCGAGTCCCCTCCGTTCTCGCCTCCCCCGCACCTTTTGAACTTGTTGCTGCTGCTCTGCTCGCCTGCGCCTGGCTTTTGGAAGGTGAAAAGGAGGAGGGAGGCACGGAGGGATGGGGGAAGGGAAAGAAGAGCTCGCTTGAGCTTTATTTATGCTCTCTCGGCGCATCGGATTCGGCTGCTCGCGAGCTGCTTTCTCTCCTCTTCCCTTTCCGGGTGCACGGCGAGGAGAAAGTCTCTATGCAACTAAGCCCCGGCGCGCACTTGGCCAGGTATGTACCGCGGGAGCGGCGCGTTCTGCGCGGAAGCAGATGCTGCTGCCGCCACGGCGGCGGCGGCTGCCAGCTCCTGAGCTCTGTAACTGTCACACTGCACCTGAGCTGAACTTGAAAAGAGAGTGAAGGGGCGATTGGGCGAACGCTTTTGGCAGACACAGAGGGTGTTTGTAGACGTGGGGGAGGAGAATCTCTATTAACGCCCCCCACCGTAACCACTGCACATCACCTCCATCTCTGCAAATACAGCCCGAGGAGTAGAGGCAGCAGCAGCTGGACCCCCAAAGAGAGACGTGGGGCAGCGGCTGTGACCGCATCTCCTGAGCTACAACAACAGGTCGCCTTTTTGAGACTCCTTTGGCGGGAAGGGCTACTTGGAAAGGAAGGTTTGAAAGAGTGAGAAGGGTAGGTGTAAGGGTTCCCTAATTCGTCGAAAGAATTCTATTGGGTGACTCTCGTTCGTCTTCTCTATCCTACACTCCACATACTGACCCTATATTATCCAGACTGTGCCGGGGAGAAATCAAAAACACCTGTTTGAAGAAACGGCTGCACCTGTGTGCTTATTTGTGCCAGAGGGTGGCCTAGCCCACCTGCAGGAAGAGATTTGGCTGGGTTCTGTTGAGGGTGATTGTTAGGACGTTGTATTTTGTTGCCATTATTCCAAATACCTGTCTTGGAGGGAAAGTTGCCCTTCTGAGAACTGTGACTTTACCAGGAGCCCTATCTTGGAATAAGAGTTACACCTCTGGACCACGTTTCTCACTAGTACTTTGCTTGACTGGAGGAAGTGGGTGACTTTTGGCTGCTTCGGTGACCCATTGTAGACGCCTCGTTACCCTTCTTCCTTCCGCTTCAAGTAATCATGGCGGCGGGGGTGGCAGCGTGGCTGCCTTTTGCAAGGGCAGCGGCTATCGGGTGGATGCCTGTGGCCTCGGGGCCTATGCCGGCTCCCCCGAGGCAGGAGAGGAAAAGGACCCAAGATGCTCTCATTGTGCTGAATGTGAGTGGCACCCGCTTCCAGACGTGGCAGGACACCCTGGAACGTTACCCAGACACTCTACTGGGCAGTTCTGAGAGGGACTTTTTCTACCACCCAGAAACTCAGCAGTATTTCTTTGACCGTGACCCAGACATCTTCCGCCACATCCTGAATTTCTACCGCACTGGGAAGCTCCACTATCCTCGCCACGAGTGCATCTCTGCTTACGATGAAGAACTGGCCTTCTTTGGCCTCATCCCGGAAATCATCGGCGACTGCTGTTATGAGGAGTACAAGGATCGCAGGCGAGAGAACGCCGAGCGCCTGCAGGACGACGCGGATACCGACACCGCTGGGGAGAGCGCCTTGCCCACCATGACTGCAAGGCAGAGGGTCTGGAGGGCCTTCGAGAACCCCCACACCAGCACGATGGCCCTGGTGTTCTACTATGTCACGGGGTTTTTCATTGCCGTCTCTGTCATCGCGAATGTGGTGGAAACAGTGCCGTGCGGATCAAGCCCAGGTCACATTAAAGAACTGCCCTGTGGAGAGCGGTATGCTGTGGCCTTCTTCTGCTTGGACACGGCCTGCGTCATGATCTTCACAGTTGAGTATTTGCTTCGCCTGGCTGCAGCGCCTAGTCGTTACCGTTTTGTGCGTAGTGTCATGAGTATCATCGACGTGGTGGCCATCCTGCCTTATTACATTGGGCTGGTGATGACAGACAATGAGGACGTCAGCGGAGCCTTTGTCACACTCCGAGTCTTCCGGGTCTTCAGGATCTTTAAGTTTTCCCGCCACTCTCAAGGCCTGCGCATCCTGGGGTACACACTGAAGAGTTGTGCCTCAGAATTGGGCTTCTTGCTTTTCTCGCTCACCATGGCTATCATCATCTTCGCTACAGTTATGTTCTACGCAGAGAAGGGGTCTTCGGCTAGCAAGTTCACCAGCATCCCTGCAGCCTTCTGGTATACCATCGTCACCATGACAACACTAGGGTAGGTGCCATAATGGGAAATGGGATGGAGGTTGGGTATGGGTGAGGCGATTGTGGACCCATCGAGGTTACATGGTAACTCCGGGGAAATCATTTGTTTTCTTTCCTGAGTTTAGGAAAGCATTATCTAAATGGTTTGGCAAAACTCTTTTCATCTGTGAAATGGGTATAATACACACGTTGAAGTATTAAGGCATTGCTGGCAAATGTTGATGCCTGAAAGTGATAAAGATACAAAGAAATTTTAGAATTCCTGAATATATGAAAGTAGTAGCAATATTTATATTAATATATAAAAATATGACAATGAAAAACAAAATCTATGCCCTAATAAAGACACAAATATATACAATGTATATTGAAATGTCTATAAAGTGGTTCAATGCATTTAAATGAAAAGTTTCCAGGTATACTTGAACTATTATTTTCATATGAATAGATACTTATGGTGTACATTTTTCCTCTAAGAACCATAATTCCTATTTTACATCGTAATACATAGATTGTAGATGTAATTATCAAAGTATTTTATAATATATATGCACATATTCATATGTATGCACTTTAATTATGGTTGATAGGTTATTCAGTCTTTTAGAATATCAGAGCTGAAACTGATCAACTCTACAATATGCAGTGGAATTAAATTTGCAACATATTTCAAGCTCTAGGTTCATAGTTTCAAAAAAAGAAGCAAAAGACTGTCATCCACACATTTTTTTTTAGAATCTACAGATCCCATCAGGCAATGGGTCCACACCCATTAAATACACATAGAAGATAGAGCAGTATCTGGTAAGATTGATGGTCACCAAGGCTGGCTGTATTATAAAATTTGGGGTCCTAATTTCCTTTTAGAATTTTTTTGTGAATTCTTTTTTGGGGGTATAATGAAGTTCTGCAACCAAAGGGACAAATTTCTGAATTCATGCTGTTGTTTTTAATATACTTTTAGGGCTAGAATTAAGTTTTTTTAGGTAGTAGAGAAAAGGAAAGGAGGCAAATGATTAATAATGTTAAACTGCAGAAAAGTAGCAGCATTTTACATATTAGAGAATCTAATAAAATAAAATGGTTAGATCTTTTTACTTTTATGAGTTCTTAGATAAGCTGGGGAGTGATGTGAGTGCCTTTTCTTCAGCTTTGTGCTACTATTCTTGCATAGGTAATCAGTTTAGTGAGGATTTGGTAATGGCTATAAGAAAAAAGTTATTCCCAAGGCTACTCTTTAAGCTTTGTGTTTTTGGATAATTTAATTGGCTTCTTTAAATGACATTGTGGTTAAAGTCAACTTAATTTTATTAGACATATTGTGTTGTACAGAATTTCTCATGTCATGTGGCCAGCTAATGGAATAGTTTATATATGAAGAATTTTAGGCTAGGTTAAACAAGAAATTGGGGTAAAGAAAAATACAATGATTTATGATTTTTATTTAGTCTCATTTTTTTAAAGACCTACTGGTACATTTAAAAAATGAATTAGTGAAAATCCATGTTCTACTTCTTATATTTCCTTTTTATCTTGTTGGCAAATTTGTGACAGTTTATAAGGATAAGGATGATGCAGAATGCCTTCGCAGTGTAGGTGCTGATTCTTTATCAAAGAGGTTTGTTTTTGTTGTCTTGTCATTTTGTAGCAGGAGATCCTTATTAAGGACAAATGGGTAGTGCAAATCACCATCATGACGTCAAATTAGAAGTACACTTGAATAAAAAAGATTCTGTTTTAATAGGAAGGGAGAACTATTAAAATGAAATACACTTTAAAAATTTGGTATATATGGCTGTGTTTCTTGAGGTATCAGTGAATCATTTTAATGCTATATAGTGTCTATATGATTGAATATAGGTATAAAAAGAATGTTGATGAGAATTCTAATTTCATATAGCTAATAGTTCTATACTAGACTTGAGAAGTTAGCATTATTTTAAAACTTGTTTCTGGAAATGACTTTCCAATTTTTATTTTATTTTGAAGCTTATTTTTGTTTCAAGGAAAATATGAGACAACATTAAACATTAGTGACAATTTTTTATTATGTAAATAAAATACTTAAAAGCACCCATTTTTGAAAATATTTAAGAAATTGAATTATATTGCCTGAGTAAAATCTATGCAGTGGATTTAGTTCACATGTTTCATAGGTAAGTAAGTGGATTAGAAGCATTGAATACACACGCTTTCTCAGAACTTGGAAGCTAAGTGGAAGTTACTTTAAAGACTTAGCTTCACTGAATTTGAACATTTTAATTTTCAGGAAATTAAGCTAATTAATGATCCTGATGGAATAGAGCAGTCATACTTTTAAGATGTGGAAATGTCGATGTAATCAAAATGAGAACATATATGGACACTTGACAAATCATATGCTTTATAATATAACAGAATTTCATAGAAAAATGTCTTTAATTTCTCATCAAAATGTATTATGTATTGTACCCTGAAGAAACAGATTCTTATAAGCCCTGCCTTTTTGGTGCCATCTTTGTGACTCAGTTATTTAATAATACAAAATATTCAATAAAAGCCATTGCCTAACTTTATTGTTTAGGCTGTAGTTCTATACTTAGAGGATGAAGTGTAAGGTGCAAACTTTCTGGGAAATAATAGTTGAAGCCAATATCCAACTATGTCTGAATGATTATCAAGAGTTATCTGAGCTCTTTTTATGGGGCTATTAATTTTAATGGAGCTAAATGTTCTTCAATTAGTGATAATAGAAGTGAAAATGTGATTGTAAACAGTGGTTATTGAAAGTTCCATCTCGTATGAACGTTATCTACATGAGAATAAATAACCAAGAGCTTTGTCATTCAGGACTGGCAGAATCATTTGCAGCTTCTAGAGTATTTTAGACAATATTCAGTTGGTTTTATGATCTAAAGAACTGAGTGTGTCTATCTTAGAACCAAGGTGTATTTGTATCACCATTTTATTTGCTCCTTGAAATATCAAATATATCAGTAGACTATAACTTGACTATGCTTACTGTATAAGTCATTACTTAATCTATCAGAAAAATGAACGCTTTAAAAATAGTTTTCAGGCTACTTAATTTCCTACTAAAGTAGGAAACATAGAAAGCACAGTTTAAAAAAAATGAAAAAATAATGTCAGAATTTTTTTTAAGTGTTTAGATTGAGTAATCAGGTAGCTCTGTTCCTCCATTTCATCCCTTCTTTCTGAGCGCATTTCACAGGTCCCTGAATCACCCTTTTATCCACCCGGCTCCCCTTTCCATAATGTAAACTCTAGTTACTGCCATTAACTGCCTTATTAGAAAAAGAACCTGGAACTCCTCTTTTGTCCTAAAGTCCTTTGGAAAATAACATCCAGTTGTTATTTTTCATTTAGATTGTAGTACTCAAATCTTGCTAAACTTAGGAAATTTCCAAGTGTTCACCAATAATCAAAAACTATTTTGTAAAAATGTACTAGACAGTGTCAAGCTTCAGTTTACTATTGCACCTCATACACATGATCTGGAAATTAGAAGTGGTACCAGGTGGCACATTAAATAATTGAAGGGTTATTATTATGTTAAGTAATATAAATATTTGCATTCTTGGTCTTATTACCATTTAGACAATTTCTTTAAAAGAAGGGATCATATTACTCATAATATAAAACTTAAGAATTTCAGGAGTGTTATTTTTGTGGTTCATCTCACTTTAATTTTAAAACAAAATTGTTTTCATCAAAGTGTTCAATATGGGAAAGTTGCTACATGGCATTTCTGTAAAGTTTATGTTTAGAGATAAATTTTATTATTTTAACGATATAAATTATATGCTGATTTCAGAACAAATTTGGGAAAGTAAAAATTTAATTTGTATTATATATTTATCTAAAACAAATACGGTGGCGTTACATCTTTGCTGCCAGAAAACTTAGCATAATTGCCATATTTCAATTTTTGTGCGTTTGGTGAATTACTATTTTAAGGAACAACAAAAAAGCAGAAAAGTTTTCACTTAAATTTTCATAGCGATGTATCAGGGAAATTCCTTTTTTAGAATGGCATACTTTGAAATAATTTATCATATGCATATATATGATCATATCTATGATATACGATAACATTATGTTATAATTATATATTATTAAAGAGAAGGATAAACTTTTAAATACTATTCTCCTGATACCTGTCAGTATTCTGATTATATAGCTTTGGGTAATGATGGGAGTATATCTTGCAGAATCATTTATGTAGAGACTTAAAGTTTACCCAGCTGTTACTGAAATGGGTGAAATTATCTTCCCTTGTGCCAACATCTATACATAACTATTGCTAGTGCATTAATATAAAACTCTTTAAAAGGTAGGAAGTACCAAAATTTATCTTTCTGGTGAAGTGCCATAATATGAGTAACATCTATTTTTATTTTGACATACTATGACATATTTGTGTAAAGTTCTTTATAGAAAATGTTAGTTGATGGAAGTTGAAAATGAACTTTTAAAGAAATGTAGAGAAATGTGGTATGTATTCCTCTTTTAGCCTTACAAGTAACCAAATCTTATGTGTCTTCATTTTGTTTTAGCCATCACTTGAATTAGAGACAATATTTGATGTGGAATTTAAAAATATGTATGTTAATCCAGCCTGTAGTACTTCAGCATTTACTTGGTTGCCAGACAGAGGTATTTCAGAAAAGGTTTAATATGTGTTATTTCAACATAGTACCCTAGAGAAAACGCTATTTTTAAATTTTCAGTGGGTCTGTTATGCTATTCTTTTTTATTTTTAATTTTCCTTTAGACTACTGATAAACTGTCTTATTTTATTTTTATATTTACATCATTTACTTCTGAACATTCCTCTCAATTATACTCATCTTTGAAAATGAGTCACAAAGTTCAAATTTCTTATTACCTGATCTCTACATTCCTAGTGGAAGAAAAGTGACCCATCATTTATTTAAAATTAATAATTTTGTTCATTTAAGAATTGTGTGGCTTGTCCATAGTTACATAATTGGATAGCAGCAATATTTTTTGAAATTTCACTTTTATGCTCATTTTCTTCTGAAGACCCTAAAACATTATCTAGAAATGTGTTATAATAATTATCGGGACTGCTGCTGATTATACAGGGATAAGAGAAGGAATACATTTGCTATTTATTCTATTAATGTAGTGCATTTCTCCCTTAGTTCTATTGATGTGACTCATTCCACATTCCTCAATATCACTGCTGGCTCTGCATTTATTCAAACAGCACTGGGGTTTATCATAATGGTGCCCATCTGATATAATACAACCTTGTATTCTCATCCAGTGAACTTTCAGGCCGTTTGGCGGCAAACTACTCAATGGTGAATCTTTTACCTGGCCTGATGGAAAAGAATTCAGTTATTTTGCCCTAATTTCCTGAAAGAGTTGGCCTATGAGTCATTAAAAATATGCAATTTAACTTCTCTTTCATTGAAAGAACACAAATGGTGAAATAAACATTCACTGAAAAGGAAGTATATTTTTTCCTTTAAAGTTGTGATAATGAATTCATTCCCTTTCCTCCCTTCTACTCTCCATATGTCTTATATTGTTTTCTAAGCAGGGATACACACACACGTATGCATGTATGTATGTATTTATGTACATATGTATGTATAAGCATTGCTCTCCCACTAGCTTCTGCAGCTAGATTTGATGATGTGGGATAGCGTCTGATATTGAAAAAAAAAAAAAAACCCCAGGGTGAAACACCATTTTTGTGCATATTTGCACTGCTCTTTGAATGTTTTGCCCTTTAGTTTTCTCCTTTGAGAGGCAGCCTTTACGTTGACCTTCTCCATGAAGGCTTTTCAGCCCCCTAAGCAAGCCTACGTCATTTATAGTTGGAATTGTGCTTGATATTAGTAAGTGTCATTTTTATATATAATTTATGGTTTTACCTCTTGACATTCTAACTAAATTGAAAGGCTTTTGAGGTTTGAGTGTATACCTTCTGGGGAGTTATTACCTAGTTCGGTGCTCAAATGTAGGAAAATATCTATGTTAATGTGTTGCTGATCATGGTGTGAGATGGCACTTGTACGCCATGGAGAGCTCCTTAGCCATGGAGCTGTGCCATCTCAACATTAGCAATAATCTGCTACTCTTAAGCCAAATTATTTTGCTTTGTTCAATGTTAAAAGTATTTACATTTGTTATTTGAACATTTTGTCCTCTCATCTACTAAATGTACCCTTTTAATTTTTCTCTTTTTGACTGGGAAGGGCTGTGAGACCTCAACTTTTTCATCCATAACTAACTACTCTGCAAAGGCTAGAATTAATGGCTACCAGTTGCCATTTTCTTGAACAGTTTGATTTCTGGTGAAGTCCAGGTAAATTGCGGATGCCTTTGGGAAGCATATGGAGATGCTTCATGATATAGGTGAATCAACATAGAAATATACTACCTTCCCTTGAAAGCCCAGTTCCTTATGTAAATACGAGTAGCTTAAAAAGCCCATGGGTCAACAGATACTTTGATGATGCTTCATCACTAGAAAGGTGTTCTCTCTTACCAGTAACACAAGCTGGAACTCTTGTTTTTCATCCAGGTTTTCTCATTTATGCATAAAATAGAATTTTTTAAAATAGGGAAATATTGTCTGTAAATGACATAGGAGATAGATGCAATTTCTGTCAGGAAAAGCTCAATGTAATCACCATCAGGAAGAAGTTAACATTCTAAGAAATTAAAAGGCAGATTACAAAATGTAAAGATAAATGTAGGTATATATTCTAGCATAACGCAATCCATTTTGCCTTGGGAATTTTGACAAGTCTATTATGTAATGATCTAAATCATTAAAAGTGTGGGGGGAGTAGGGAATGAGTTCCTAGAGGTTAATAATGGGAAAAAATAACATTGAAAGAGTAGGATGACAGTTGAGATAATGTCAAATAGAATGGGAAGATTTTGTTCTAAAAGTAAAAGGTCTTGTCTTTTTTGCTTTTATGTGGACCTAATTCTTCCGTCTTCTTCATTTTCTTCACTTTTAACAATATCAGTAATAGTGCTCTTGGAAACCCAAAATAACACCAGTAACATACACTCTCAGGGAATCAGACTGTGGCTCACAGAGTTCAATTCAACATAATAGACCTTTGTTGATCACTTGCTACCTGTCATTGACCACAGCAGTAACCAAAAGGTCAACTTTCTCACCTTAGGAACTATTTAAAACTAAAATAGTGGAAGAGTCAGAAATAAAAATGTAAATATATGATATAATGCCACGTAGAGATGAGTGCTATGAACAAAATACATCTGGGTAACAAGCCTGCTATTTTGCATAGGGGACAAACAAGGCTTTTCCAAGGGGTTGGCATTTAAGCCAATGGCTGATTAAAGTGATGAAATGACTTTCTGACTATCTGGATGAAGAGAATTAGAGGAAGAGAGAAAAGGAGTACAAAGACTTCAAGGTGGGATGAAGTTTCATCAATTCTATCTAATGTCCCTGTAATAGAAGCAAAGAGAGTAAGGGGCTTAGTAGCAAATGGAATCTGAAAAGTAGTTAGGACTAGACTATGTAGGATATGATAGACCACAATAAAGACTTCTGATTTCATTTAAGATGAAAGGGGGAGCCATTAGAGAGTTGTGAGCATGGTAGGGATAGGATATGATTTCTGTGTTAAAAGGAGCAAATGCTCTAAAACATTTAAAACATTTTTAAATGGTCAAATTAAAATTATTTACCATGAATAAATTTTCATCCTTCATTAGTTTTTTATATTTACCTTAGCTTAAAATTTATATCCAATTATTCAGGAGATTATCTAAAAAATGAGTATTTTCTAATACATAAGTAAATTGTTACTAATAACACAAATAAAACTAGTTCAAATGAAAACTGAATTCCATATTTTAGCTGAAAAGACAAGGCTAGTGCTCAGTGGATATGGAATTATTTGGGAACTGATGCAGATAATTATTTCTTTTGAATATAGATTTGCATACTTAATAGTTGTCAATTGTAATATTAGTGTTCAAGAATATTACACACATTTTGAATTCTAGTTAAAGGATTTTCATTCCTTTTTTGTCACTTTGCAGTAGGTACATATATATCTTTTCCAGGTGTTTTGTTAGTTATATAAGCCTGAAAGACAAAATGGCTTACATACCTTAAAATCTGTGAAGATTGCCATAGGATATGTATTTTTCAACACAAATTAAATTGAGACCATGTTTATAGCAGATGTGTGATGAAAACTTGCAGAAGCAATGCTTTGATAAGAATCACCATGCTGAAGAATAAACTATAACCATGAATGGATAATTGGAAATACATGGGTTTGGAGAAAGAAAAATTGGATTAACAACATAAAAATGCAAAAAAAGGGTATGCTTTCCAGATGAACAAATTGTGAAAATAGTTTTTGAATCTAGAGGAATTCAGTGTGGCCTCTCACTTTAGCATGCTGTTTCCATGAAGACATTTGCCCTCTAGATAACTCTGCATCTTACCCAGTTCTTTCCAGAGGCCTATTTCCTGATAAGGAAGCAAGGATTCATGGGGGCTAACACACACACACATGCACACGCACACACACACACGCGCGCACACTCCAACCATTCGCTGGTTTCCTTTCGTCATGCTGTAGAAATTAAGGCTGTCTAACCCTATACCATCTTAGTGCACTTTGGAAAAATGAAATTCTTCTCCATATTGTTTTAGATAGCACATTCAAACTTATGAAAATATGTCTAGATTGTATCAAATGAGGTGTTTTTGTATTCTTCTTAAATTAGATCAACCTAATAATGCACATTAGAAACAATATTGAATCAGAAAGGAATGTGCCCTACAGGCTATTCCTAATGTTTGATTTTTTGCTTTAGTCTAGAAGTATTAGAGTCATGGAATTTTGACTTGCTAGGCTCGTTAGAAATCATTTTGTAGAAATGTCTCAGTTTATACTTGAAGAAACTAAGTTAGAGTGTAGTCATGAAATTTATATAAAATTATAGGGTCTAGTTAGTGGAAGAATCTAAGCTAGATTTCTGGAAGATCATTTGAAGTCCAGTGTTCTTTACAGCACAATACACTGGAGGGTTCCCCCATTATATTTCTTTCTCTACTTTATGCCTATTTCCACCATTAAACAAAATATTAAAAACATAACAGAGCAGCATCACCAAGCAGTGTATGTGCAGGTCTAAAAGTTTCCCCATGTTATAATTAAAACTCTGATGATGACTTTGTATTTTATTTGTAATTTTTAATGAGAGACTGAACTAGTAACAAAGATAAATAAATTCATGTAATACATAACAGGAAATTAAGAATATTGTTCCACTGGTATTACTTTTACTGTGACCTTTTTGAGCTGAGAAATAAAGCGTAGCAGTTGTAACTTGCATTTTATCCAACTCAATGATTTGTCATTGGGTTCCTTTTATTTTTTCAACCTGAAAATATTTACTCTGGTAATAACACTGTATTTATATTTTCACAATGCAGAATATTTTATTGTCTTCAGTTATGTGTTTAAATTCAAGGCTGAACATATCATAGCCAATAATATGGAAAACATCAAACCTGAAAATATCTCACAAGACTAGTTTACTTATTCTTGTGAAATTAGGTATGAGAATTGATGTTGATAGTCAATTGGTTTTCAGATACTTTATTATATCTGAATATACAATCAAGAAAGTATTAAGTCTTTTTGTTCATATTGTCTATTTTATTAGAACATTACTATAGTTAGAAAAAATGCACTAATTTCAAAACATCTCATAGACATTCAGAAGAGGATACATCACTGTGAAATAGGACATAAGAATAGATGTCAAAAAGAAATTACTTCCATTTCAGTAAATTCTTAATTATGGAAATTCAAATGAATATTTTTCCAATCTTTTATAGATTGCCTTGCATTTTTTTAATGTTTGCAATAAAGGGCAGTTGTTTTGAAAAACATAATTAACTTAGAAGTATACATGTTGATCTGTTGTCTGCTATTACTTTTTTAATATGGAATTTCTGCTTTTGCATTTAAAATTGTATTAATTTGATGCAAAATCTCAGAAGATAACACAATAAATATCCTATTACAAAGAAAAAGAATGTAGTTTAGAAAATGGCTCTTGACTCTTCTTTGTGGAAATAGGACACTTTATTTACTTTATTTAGGGTTGGCATGGTCCTAGAGTAGTGATAAGTAAAGTGCCTATCAATTTAGCAAAGAACTTTATTATTTTTATGGAAAGAGTCCAAATACATTCATAGTTATCTAAATGAAAGGTAAGATTTCTTTATCTTAAAAAAAGCTAAAGGGAGGATTTTTTTTCAGTCAAGTAGCAAATGTTGGCAATATATTCTGAAATACACTATATTAAGCAAAAACTATGAATAAATTAAGAAATCACTTTATAGACCACTCACATTCCTTTTACTTCTGTTTCCTTTATTATTTTCCACACTATTTAATTCACAATTTTTGGATCTGTACATACTGTTTTAATATTACTAAAATATGTGTGAATGTGTAATGTGTACTCAAATCTGCATTTTGGGAAGCACACACATATACACCAATACAAAAATGTACAGATGTGTAAATCAATATTATATACAGATGCATATGTGGATATATAGCTATATGACCGATCTTATTTTGCTGGGAAACATAACCTATTGATAATATTTTTAAGAAGATTTGGGGATGTGGGAGATAGGAAAAGCCATTTTAAATTTCACTTTGCAAAATAACATTACAAATAGGTGCTATATGAGGGATTGCTATTATATTGTTATTACTATTGACTATATAACAGTATTAAATATAGTACATATTTGCCTTGCATTAGAGTAAGTCTCTATCACATCAGTAGACAATTAGGCAGGAAATAATTACTGAAGAGTTGTTGATTGATGACACACCATAAATCAAAAGGAATTTCCTATTTAGAAATTGGAATTTTGAGTCACCATACAAAACATATTTTTAGGTTAGAAATCCAACATTTAGTGATTTTGGGTTACCAAATTATAAAAATCTTATGACTCTATCAGACTTGTTTTGAAATTATATACTTATTCATTCATTACTTTTTTACTCTGTGCATTTTCAAGGAGGAGTTGCAACAGTTTATTGTCGAATAAACAGAAATGATTAGGCAAGCATCAAGTATTAAAGGTGACAGAAAGTGATGGAGAATAAAAATTATGTTGAATAAAACATTGCTGAGCATAAAATCAACTTTGAAATTCCTGGTGGACAAAGAAAAGCAGGAAGTATAGTATATGTTTCATAGGTATTTAAGAAAAGAAAGTATCTTATTTCATGAAGAGTTTTTTAGAGAATACTATCTAATAGAAATTTGGGGCAAAATCAGTATAAGCAGGTTATTTAACAACATAATGAAGTGTGGCTGCACCAGTAGTTTCACAAAATATTTAGAAATATTTTTGATTGGGCTATACCATATACAAATTTTTATAAAGCAAAGTGATAATATGTATACACATAAAGGTGTTTTCGTAAGAAATATACATAATTATCAAAATACATAACTCCCAGATGATTGTGAGATTCATATATAGAGTTTAGTAAATCTAGAGTGATGTTTCTTAATATAGACTGAGGATCATCAGGATTAGGATTACCTGGAATACTTATTAAAAATGAATATTCTGGGAGTTCACCTAAAGCAATTTAAATAGTCTTTGCAGGTGGGAACCATGATGTCAGCATTTTCAATTCTCACATCAAATATAAGAACCACTGAAGAATGCCCTCTCAGCCTATTTCTATCATTTTCATCCTATTTTGACTTCAGCTGGAAGTTTGAGTGACAGTTAAAGCAAACCATTCAAGTCTGGATGTGGTGGCTCACACCTAAAATCCCAGCAATTTAAGAGGTGGGTGGATCACTTGAGATCAGGAGTTCAAGACCAGCCTGACCAGCATAGTGAAATACTGTCTCTACTAAAAATACACAAGCATGGTGGAGTGCACCTGTAATCCCAGATACTTGGGAGGCTGAAGTAGGAGAATCACTTGAACCTGGGAGGCAGAGGTTGCAGTGAGCCGAGATTGCGCCCCACACTCCAACCTGGGTGACAGAGTGAAACTATGTCCCAACAACAACAGAACATTTAAAACTATGATCTACTAGCTAAAGTGCTTGTTTTCAATTTTATTTATTAGATATTATAGATAGAAAATCAGAAGTCTTGAATACAGGTAAAAAACCAATGCTTTATTGCAAAAGCCATATCTTATCACGTGCTAAGGTATAAGGTTTCAGAGATAACAATCATTAGTCAGTGTTTAGGAGACCAACTGGACTAAAGAAAATACAGTTGCTTCCTTTTGGGAATTTAGGATTGTGAGCTTTTAAAGCTACTGATTTTCTAACATTGTCAAGGATAGGTAGGCTGAGCTTTTCTTAGTAGAGGCAGAAGATAATCGACCAATTGGTTGTAATAAAAGTAAAGAAAATGGAATTAGATAAAAGCCTCTGAACAAAGGAGGAGCTTACGAAAAAGAAGACGGCACAAAGTATGAAGACACTCTAAATCTTATGAAACTAGAATAGTCTTTGGGTATGTTTTTTCTCCTTTTACTCTTTCTTTCTTTTATATAAACAGAAGTTGATTTGAAAGGATTTACTTTCCAAAGAAGATAATTTTTAATCACATGTAAGGGATTTCAAATGTGCAGGACCTAAAGATAGAAAACAAATTACTGGTGGATTCTTAGATTATAATTGAGCATAAGGGGAGTTTTATGTAAAAATCCACTGAATGGCTGATTTGATGTTGAGATGTTTAATTGGCTTTTCATGGATGTTAGCTTGTCCAAAATGATTTCATGTTCTTTCTTGATAGATATATGAAATATACAATAATCTTTTTCTCATGAGGTCCAGGTGTAATGAGAACTGTCTTACAAAAGGCTGATTGAAGATTAATATGGCCAGAAATTGAAATTCATTTCCTGTATTGGAGGATGCTGTCTAATTAGTTGTGGTTACAGGATTTTTGAACATCAGGTTTGGTAAAAAGATGAAACCTATAGTCAAAAGTTATGATCACAGAAGTCTGGTTAAACATAACTTCATGCAAACCCAAATGTTACTTAGTTAAAATCAGGAGGCCTGATGTGACAGTTTTGAAATCTTGGTTTGAAATGAGGTTAGTTAGATGATGCGGGTTTATCCCAAGTCAGATAAATAGAGAAGAGTCTTATCAACTGCTTGTAAGGCCTCTCTTCCTTAACAGAGTATATATGGGGGGAGAGAGGAAGGCAGAGGTGGGAGGGCAGAGACACAAACACACACACACACACACACACACACACACACACACACACAGAGAGAGAGAGAGAGACTAGGAGAAAGAAAAGTAAAGAGAAAGAAAGTGAGGGGGGTAAAGAGATGATTTGATTCTTACAATGGGACAAAGAATAGAGTATACACTTATTGGGCCCCTATTCTGTAGCAGGCACGATCCCTTGTATGTAAGCTGTGTTATGTTTTCATGCTGTCCGCTGACTGTCCCCCTTATTTGCCACATTTCAATTCTCATTGGCAAGAGAGCTAAATAAAAATAAGCTAAATATGCAATAAAATGGAAATCTCATAAAATAAGGCCACTCCACTAAACATTTGTTTAAGTTTAAACAGCCAGGGCTAACCAACAAAATCAAGCAAACACTTTTAGTTAAAATAAAAAGGAACCAAGAACAAACAACAATAGAACATGGTCTGAGAAGCAAGTCTGAATTTTGAAATATGAAGTATTTCTGGGAGGATAACAGGGAAAATAAAAGAAAAACCTATGTACTTAATCTCATGTCCCTTTTCAGGTATCCCAGTAAGAGCTACCTTACACTTCTACCAAAGATTCGAGTCTTGAGCCACAAAATAAACATGTCCTCCTACTGTCCTGCAGAAATGATCGGTGGGCTTGCCAAAAACAGCAGCTATTCTTTCCCTTCACCTTAGGCCAGACATAAACGTCAGCCAAGTACCACACACACCATGCTTGGAAGCATCGACCTGCATTTTTAATTTGGAATATTAAAAACAAAATGGCTTCCAACTTTTCATCCAACATCTATTTTAATTGGGTCTATGATTCTTGTTCACCTTTATTTTAGTTGGTTTAGAGGAAAGTGTTTCACTGAAGCAATACACATACGATTTAATTTTAATAAGTAGTTTCGAAGCTCACATTGTGTTTTTGCTTATTTGTAGTATCCCTAGGCACCAAATAAGAAAATAAATATTTCATAATTTTATAATGCTCTATCTGGGGCCTTGTTGTGTTTTAAGCTGCCTCAATATGCGTGCTGACAAAGTTCTCTCTTCAAAGAGCTTCACACTTTAGTTAAAATCTCCCCCACAGATTTTTTAACAATGCCTAGAACATTGCTTTGCCGATCATGGATGCTGAATAAAGATTTTTTTTATTTTTACTGTAGAGTTTAAAGGTCCATTCAATTTTAGAAATTTATATCACTCATAACCCTTTCTAGCCACTTCTTCAACCACATATCCTCTGACATACAACTACCTACATACAGAAATAAAGTTCCCATAGAAGCAAAGTCCTCAGGTCAATATACATTAAAATAATTATACATGAAATAAACTTAGAATTTTGAGACCTTTTTGATATGCTGATTCATTCCTCTGCAAAACTCTTTTCCAAATACTTATTTATGCTCTTTCACCATTGAAAGAAATCCCCTATATTTCTGTGCTATTTTTCTCATCTCTATGCTATTGGCTCGTAGTTATACATATCTGTCCCAGACCATTCTTATGAATTTCAAACAATAATTTCCAGCTATATGTCATCAGGAAATATTATACCCTTGGCTTTTCTGGACAATCAGTGGAAGCAATAGCCATATGGAGAATATTTCCAAATCTAATGGAACCCCTACCATTAGACATAGAATATTGTCTAGCTGGCATATTATTCAATATCCTGTACATTAAGAGCTACACATATATGGAAATATATATATATGCTTTTTTTTCTTGCATGCCAACTTTATTAAAATTTGGATGCTTCCTGATGTGGCTAATGAGAAGAATTCTCAGGCATATACAGGGTCACCAGTAATGGGTGCCATGACCAATTAGTGCTGTTATCCGTAGGTTGGGGATAGAAGAAAATTTTCTTACCTGACATAAGCAAAATCTCAGTGGCAGAAAAATGAAGAGTGTATTCTGGGCACAGTAAGTAGATTTATTTGGCACTCATATCTTTTGAATATTGACTGAACAAAAATCTGAAATCAGTTGTCACTTTTTGAATCTTAATAAATTCTGCTATGAATGGATTTGAAAGTAATCATTGTGGCACAAGTAATCCATTTATAAATTATATTTGCTCATGTATTTGTATTTTATCTATGTGATTTGCCCATCATAAGTGCTCAATAAATACTGGTGTAAATGAAATAAAAATGAAAAAATTATCTTTATGCATAGAAATTTGATTCATTTATGAAGATGGAAATATAATTTTAGCAGGAAGATGGAACAGATTGTCTTAGATGGTATTTGAACTTTATTTTATGGTCTTAACACTTGAGCTCCCCAAAAATCTGTGATATTTGACATGGCATTACTTTATGTCTGTAGTACTGTACTCTGTAACTATCTTTTGCCATCATTAAGATTATTATTTATTAATAATCTGAAAAATTGGTGTATATTAGGTGTTGAATAGAATTTAACAACTTGAACACAATTGTTTAGCAGAAACAAACAAATATGATGTCCAGAAACACAGAACAACAAATGCACGGTCATATACAAAGCATAGCAGGTAAACACAGAATCCAGATTTCAGTTAACCCAGTGTGCTGTTTCTATGTGCTATAGAATATACATGACACTATGAAGAAAGATATAAGGGATTAAGTTATGTGCAGATCTGGGATTTTGAACCAAAGACCTGTGACTTTAAATCCTGACTCTTCACATTGGCTGATTCTACAGAGCCTGGATGCAGTTAAAAAACATGTTTATGTTTTTATGATAGAAAATTTGTGAGGTCCTGTTTAAGGCTCTGAAATGACCAATTGTTTTCTTGAGTTGAAAAGAATAAAAGTCAACCATCAATTTTTGTAGTCAAATTAGAGCTCAAGGAACATAGAAATTGCAATGACATTTGAACCTGATTTTCCTTCTGCCAAATCCTCCTTTCCTTCTTTTAAACCTGTCCTAGCAAATGTCCAGGATACATGTAAACTAAATTTTCAGCTGATTTCTATACCTGTTGTTTTTCTGTCTCTTATTTCTTTGCTAAAACATAATCAGTATTTTTCCCAAACAGTTTAAGATCCCCCATCTCTGTTGTAGTTTGAATAATGTGCAACACAAAATAATAAATAATGCAATATTACCATTGGTATTACATATTTTTTGTAATATAAATCTGTCATTTTGTAGATAATTATATTGAAATATAGTAAATGAATATTTAACCACTGTAAATGTCCTATTTGTATTTTGACACATTTCTCTGATAAGAAAGCAATGATTTAAATATTACTTTTTATTTTTTTAAGTGCCCATGCTGTCTTTGTCCTAACTGATATTAATTCATTTGCAATATTATCCAAATACCTTTTGTTTCACCTTAGTGGCAAGTCATTATATTCTATCATATTTACTTAAATTTAGTGACATGTTTCACAGATATAGACTTGTAAGTGAGATTCTTCAAGTGGGTAGTTCTTTTTCTTCAGAGAATCACAGGATCTTGAAATTAAAAGTTTCCTTGGAGAAAACTTTTCCCTGTTCAATCTTCTACCCATTTAAAGTTTCTCTTTCTACTGTATTTTCTACATTTATATGGCCTTCTATGAACTTTTCAAAGATTCTGTGTAATTGGAATTTTAAGGCAACCCATTTCTTTGCAGCACAGCTCAAATTTTTATCAAGTTTTAAAAAATTGAGCTGAAATGTACACCTTCTACATTACCCATTTATTCAAATTAGGTATTAAGAGGTTAAACTGAAATTGTTTTCATTTTCACATCCTTTCCAGGGTGATACTTGGAGAAAACTATTATGTTCCTCCTTAGGCTTTTTTTGCTGGGGTTATCTTCCCTAAGTCATTCAAACTTTTGTTGTATAATGTGATTTCTTGACCTCCTTATTGCCTTAATTTCAAGTCCTCTGAAGCTGATCTGACTGGAAGAGAGTACATTGGAATCATGACCTACCATGACACCAACTCTGTATCTCTGAGTAGATTCTAAGTGCATTGACTCGTATGGGTCATGTGGTAAAATATCAGGTCTTTTACTTTTATTTGAAATGCTATAAAACCTTTCTGTTCTCTCCTTTCTTTATACTGTTGATTCATAGTTGAGAATAAACTCTACCATATTTTTAAGAAATTCTTGTAAATTTCATTCCATGAACTAATAAAAATGTATTGTTTGTGTGCTACCTAGCTACATGGCTCAAATGTCTCCATTAGTCTGTTTAATTGGATTACAAAAATTAAACAGAATACACAATGGACAATATTCTTCTGGAAAAGCTATAAAGGAAACTTCATGAGTGGAAGTGTTTGTCCAGATCATTGTACCTGAAAGCATTTGCCCAGTGCAACCAGACATTTAAAACCCAGAAGGGAAGGAGAAGAGAAGGAAGACTCTATAACAAATTCTAATTGAATTGTTCTGGCACCCATGTGCTGTTCTGGTTCTGCTTGACCAGAGGCTGAGGATAATTCAGCTTTCTGATGATTTTTCCCTTCACTTTCCAGGAGGCTCATTATTGATGAAGCCTATTAAGACAACTGGGATGGACAGAGGAAAAGGGTCAGACACATATGGCTTTCCTGTTTCTTTTTGTTTGACCAGATTCATTTGAAAGGATGAAATGCAATCATCATTATTATCATCGTTATCACAGAAGCTCTCACTTAATGAGTAATTACCCTGAGTCTGCACCATACTCAGCTCTGCTTAACATATATTGTCTTTGATTATATATTAATCTACAACGTGTTACCTTTATTTTACAGTGAAAAAAATGTGACTCAGAAATGATTGATGTTAGTTCTGTCTCCCAAACATGTGCATTATCTGTAGAAGCACATAGGGTCAACAATTATTTATATTTGTCAAATAATTAGTAGTTGTAATGTCAACTGTGAGTCTAGATGTAGAAATGCTGTTTAAAAAAGCTTGGTTCAAAGTATGTTACAACCAGCAATGACAAAACTAAATTCTCTGCTCTTGAAGTATATTTAGAGACCACCATAACATTCTACTCTTGCATTCGTTTGTGATTTGCAAAGTTTAAGATTTCTAATTGAAGTCACTCAACATAAAAAAGCAATTCTCAATACAACCATTCTAAAATAATTTAGTGAAAAGGTGGGTAGATCATGGAGGCTTGTTTATTTCATCTTAGTACAGAAGGAAATAATCCTCTAAGATGTTTTGGATGTTTGAAGTTGTCCAAGCATCATTGAAATAATACATGACTGGTTAAAATATACATTCATTATAGCAGAAAGGACTGATTATGTTACTACTTTAGAAATTGAGTTTATATTGAATACAAACAGTTGTAGACTCTTACCTGGATTGCTTATTGGTCATGTCAGCAATAACGAATATATTTATCGAGTATGAAATTCATTTCAGCTTACCCTTGTTAAATGGCTAAACACTATTTTTAACAACTGTAATCATTTTTCTCCTATAATTAATTGTATTTATTATATTATCTCATTTATAAAATCACTAGATCTGATTAATGCCGTATAATATAAAAAGTTATGATTATGAAATACATTTACATATTTATAAAGACATTTTTATCTAACTGAAAGTTTAGAGAGAACATACATATAGGTTCTACCAAGCACCTTAGAATGGTTTCAGAATTTACTGAACATTAATTAGGTCTTGATTAAAAACCATTCCTACAATGAAAGAATTTTTAAAAATCATTAATGTGACATAGATTTGAAGAAACATATTCTTATTAGCCAAACACTTATTCATCTTATTGTATGTTTACCTTGTTTATGTTTCATCTATCTATATAAAGATATGTACATACACACATATACATATATACACATGTATATACATACACACATATGTACACATACATATGTGTGTATGCCAGTAAAATATGTTTGCAATGTATCTTTAATTATCTTTTACTCTTGCCTAGGTTAGAAACTCTTGAAGGTCAGGACGTGTATCTAACTTCATTTGTTCTGATACTCTGGGCATTGAATACATTTTTTTGCTGAGTTTTATGTTGGTTTTGATGAAAATACACAGTATTTTATTTATAAAGGGGAATTATCTTGACTTGTAGATAATGATTTTCAATATGTAGCAGTAAGAATTCGTATTGATGCCAGGGAAGCAAATTCAATAAAACACCAGTTTAGTTCAGCTTTGGCTGCAAGATTATTGTAATGTTCTGTTTCAGTAGTTATTAGAAAATATCAAGATCTCTTCTTTCATTTATTCAGCAAATATTTGAGTGCCTACACTGGGCCATGTTCTTTCTAAGTGTTAATGATACAACGATTAATGAGGCATATTTTCTGCCCTGAAAAAATATGTCATAGAGTAACACACACACACACACACACACACACACACACACACACACACACAGACACACACACACACACAAACACACCCACACACATTCTACATTACAGTGCAAAGAGTAAGGTAATAAAACTTATGTCAGGAAATTATGGTGCTTGGGGAGGGAAACCAAATCTCGTGAGGAGTTTCACAGAAGGCTTGCTAATGGTAGATTCTGAATGAAGCATTTGAGGTTGAATATGAGCTATCAAGAGGAATGGGAATAAAGAGTGGGAAGAATATTCCAGATTGAGAGAATGGCAAATCAAAGGGATAAGGAGAATATTTTTAGCCATAATATACAAATACCTGTTATTATGTGTTAATTTACTAGTAATTCTACTAAGATTTTTACCTGGATCCTCTAATTTATGCCTTACAGAAACTTTATGAATTAAGTGAAATTTTTCTCACTATTTTGCAGATGAGATAATGCAAACTCGAGGTGCAAGTGTAGGGGAAGCTGAGATTCAAATGCAGTCAGTCTGACCCCAGAATCCCTGCTGTTAAACACCCCTCTATCTACAGTCTTACCATCTTGGGTTGGGACATTCCAAAATTCAGTCACTATTAATTATTTCCCAAGGAATAATTCACAAACAATTGGACTGGAGTCCCACAACAAAGGTACATGGGAATATTTGAGGTAAACACTGAATACTCAAGTATAATCTACAAAAATGTGAACACTTTCTAATGTATAGTATTACATATTTAAATATGTTTTTCACATATTGAAAAGTTTGGCATATCTCTTTCTACTGCTGGGAAACTTATATATAGTCATTCAGTCTCCTTTTGGCAGGGTCAGGATTTCAGTTATGTGTGATATGTAAAAATTTTAAGTGTTGTATTTCGGGTTGACATTTCTTCCAACTTTGGAAAGCTATGTTTTACATATCATGCTTTTCCAACTGGAGTGTTTGAGGTTATACTTCTAATTGTGACTTTTGTCCTACAAAATTTCACAAAGTTTCTAAGTACTGGATCTCATTAAGTTTAATTCCTAGGACCATGGAGAGAGGAAATACCTATTTCAATTTAATCTCTCAAAAATGAATTTTCTATTTCAATTAATTCTCCTGAGAAAGACTTAGTTCTAATAATTAGCTTCACATTATATTACATTTTTATAAACCAGAATTCAATATGTGCCAATAGTATGATCATATGGGAATGGTAATTGTTTACTTAAGAAAGCCTTTTTAGTTCATAGTAAAATGGTCTAATAATGAATTCTTTATAGTCATTCTCATTCTCTGAGTGGTACTCATTACAGCAATTGGAAAGATCACTTTAAATGCAGTACTGTATTATACATAGTTGCTAAGAGAACCAGTTTTCCAATATTTAGAGAAATTAAGCATCAGGCATTTGAAATAGTCATTGGATATGTTGGCTAGGGTAGAATAAAACACAGCCAGATCTGTAATTAAGATATCAATTTAAAAATCAAAGAATAAACAATTAGAATGCTGAAAACACTATGCTTCTTATCCATTTAGCAATTATTTTCTAAGAATTTTTAAGCAATGTTTTTTTAAGAATTGTAGCTTTGACATGAAAAGGAGGCATGATAAACACAACTCTTTTTATTAGCTAAAGCTTTAATTTGACATATTTTTATGATATTGCTTTAAATCTGTTTTTATTTTGTTGTTTATTTGTATAATTTTATAGGTACAAGTGTGATTTTGTTACACGGATATATTGGGTAGCAATGAAATCTGGGCACTTATATGTATCCATTACCCACATCACGTACATTGTATCTATTAAATGATTTATTATTATTCACTTCCCCCCCAGCTCTTCCAAATGTCTATCCATCTGTCCAAATGTCTGTCCAATGAGATAGACATCTCTAATGTCTATCATGCCACTCTCTATGTCCACATGTACACATTACTTAGTTCCCACATATAAGTGAGAACATTGGTATTTGTCTTTCTGTGTCTGAGTTGTTTTATTTAAAATAATGACCTCCACTTACATCTATGTTGTTGCAGAAGACATCATTTCATTCTTTTTATGGCTGAATAGTATTTCATTGTGTACCTATACCACATTTTCTGTATGTGATCCATCAATGAACACTTAGGTTGATTTCATATCTTTGTTTTGGTGAATAGCGCCACAGTTAATACAAGAGTGCAGATATCTTGTTGATACAATGACCTATTTTTCCTCTGAGCAGATACCCAGAGTGGGATTGCTAGATGGAATGGCAGTTTTATTTTTAGATTATTTAAAAATAATTTCTCTGCATCATTATTATTTTTCAGAAACTTAAGTTTTAAACATTTCTACTCATATAAACTTCTGTTATATTTAACTTGTTAAATGCACTTCTGTTCACAAATGGCTGTGATTTCTCATGAATTTTCAAGCCTCTTGTGCTCTAATTGAAATATTTTGGAGAACTGTTTTGGATTTTATGTTTGTTCTGTTGAGTAAAAGTCATTGTAAATAATATTAACTTTGCATTTTTAAATTAGTACTCTTTCAAACTGTGTTAATGCCTGAAAATTTAGTTTAGCACTGTCCAGTAGAACTTTCTGTGATGATGGAAATGGTCTACATTTGTTCAGTTCAGTACAGTAGCCACTAAATACATGTGGCTATTCAACATCTGGAATGTGGCTAGGGTGATTGAGGAATTGAATTTGTAATATTGTTTAATATTACTTATCTTAATTTAAATGGTTCTATGTGGCTAATAGCTGCTATGTTGGATAGATCCACTCTTGTTACTACATCTTAACAGAGTGACTAGTTAAGTTTTGTATTTCTAAAGATGCATAATTGAGATATTAACTTACACAGACATACACATCAAAAAAGAGTCTCTCTACACACGGGTATTACAGACTTCTCTAGGGCGCATCCTCTCCTTAGCTAATTTTATGGTAAACAGTCACCAAAAGGGGAACTCATTTAGCTGGAACATCCCAGTTATGTTACTGTGTTATGATGGTATTGAAAACTATAGTAGATTTTCACATTGAGAAGAACCAGAAATGTGAACTATACCAGTCTAGTGACTAAAATTTTTGACCAACTGTACTTTTCAGTCCAGGTGTTTGGTGATTGATGTGTTCATGATTTTAAATTGAATATCAGTGTTATTTGGATGATGGATGATTGGAAGTGCTTCTTTATGCAGCCATACATTTCTGGTGTTCCTGCTAATAATCTCTAAAAATAAGTGTTGAGAACCAGTCACAAAAAGTTTTCTATGATAAGAACATTGATTTAAACATTTATTTTAGTGTCTTCTTAACTGAATTCAAAACAATAGATGTTAGACCAAAGTAAGAAATGTTGCCGTCAAAGCCTAATCTTGGAAAAACTACACAGAGAATTAAAATCCATTTTTCTTCTACTCATGCAAATTAGTAATATTTGAGCACTACTATTAGAAAGTGTAGCGAAGTCTTACGCTTTACCTGTTATTGCGTTGGTTCTTGCTGAATCACAACTGTAAGTAAAGAAATTGAGAATGGAGGCCTGGCGCGGTGGCTCACACCTTTAATCCCAGCACTTTGGAAGGCCGAGGTGGGTGGATCACCTGAGGTCAGGAGTTCGAGACCAGCCTGGCCAACATGGGTGAAACCCCGTCTCTACTAAAAGTACAAAAAATTAGCAGGGGGCAGTGGCAGATGCCTGTAATCTCAGCTACTCAAGAAACTGAGGCAGGAGAATCACTTGAACCTGGGAGGCAGAGGTGGCAGTGAGCTGAGATTGTGCCACAGCACTCCAGCCTGGGCAATAAGAGCGAAACTCTGTCTAAAAAAAAAAATTGAGAATGGATTCACTGCTTAATAGTAAAGTATATCATTTAGTCTTGCTTGTTATTATTATTTTCTTACTACCACTTTTTACTGTCTGGTAAAAGAAATAAGTAGACAGATGCCATTCACTAACATAAATGAGTCACGATCAGTGAGTTAACAGTTTAATAGGAAGTGAGACTTATTGTTACCAGATTTTCACCATTCTTTTGTGTGAGTGTGTGTGTGTGTGGTATGACTTGTGTGTGAAAGTTCTCCTGGATGTCTAAAGTTTTCACTACCTTGTTCTTTTAATAATAGTCGCTCATTTCCAAGCATAACATCTATATAGTTTAGAGTTAGGTTCAGCTATGAGTAATAGAAAACCTAAAACTAAAAATTATTTAAACAAGAGACATTTCTTTATTTCTCAAATAAAATTGATATTCTAGAGCTGCTTTGGTTATTTCTTCATCAGAGACAGAGGCTTCTTTCATCAAGTTCTCTGCCAAATGAAACATGATTTTCACCTTATGATCAAGGTGGCTAATCGAGCTCCACATATAACATCTGCGTTCCACAGAGTAGAAAGAAGAAAGGAAAAGAGGCAAAGTCCTGTGATACTCGTCATTGAAAAGATTTCTTGGTAGTTTCCACATAAAATTATTTTTTTCCAAGCCTGAATATAGCCAGGCCTACTTGCAAAGTGGCTGATCCAGAGGTTTTTGACAGAAAATATGAAGTATTAAGTTCCCAATAGTAAGGTTTTCTTTGAAGAGTAATGTTGAAATAGAATGACTTTTCTGCCTTGTTGTAGAAATAGATGATTATTTTGGCATATATTATTACTATTTATAGTATATATAGCCAGAGCTCTGCCAATAAACATGAAGAAATTTTTAAGGATATGTCCTAGGTTTTAGCAAAGTTAACTTTAAGGAAGAACTATTGCAAAAGAGGTTGGTGACATTGAGTGGGACAATGACACCAGGCTGTATAAAATACCTGGTAAGGGACACAATTTTTTCAGAACAGTTTGGAAGAGATTCACTCCATTAGATTGACTTAATTTGGAATTGACCAATTCATATTAGTGAGATATTATAATTTTATGCTTCCACTGTGTTGTGTCCAGAAAATACAGGTGTTCAGGGGAAGTCAAAACCCTAGATGAACTCTTTGCAGCAAATACATGAAGGAACTAACTAGTATGTCCATAGGAATGGATTATACATTTATATTAATATCTTTAAGCTCTGGATTTGCATTCTGATTGCTGTCTTGGCAGAAAACCTTAGAAAATAAAGAGCATTTTGATTCCTATTTTAAGAATACTGGTGTATATTGTTTTCATTTCAAAATTATCTGAAGCATATTGTTTGTGTTTAAAATATATAGTGAACATGGATATTATTCAGAGGAAAAAACACTGAGTAGTGAACAGATCTAAAATTATATTCTTGATTAAGTTATTTTTATAGCGATTGATGCATTATAAAATATTCTCATTAATCTAACAAAATGTAAAGTAACTGTAATTAGAGTGAAAGTTTTTATGATCATCTAGACACTTAACATCTCTTCTCTTCCATATTCTCCATCTTCCCTAAGATTCTGATTTTTATAGGCCAACTTTGCCCTAAGACACACTAGGCACAGTGTCTGTGGCCCGTATTACTTTTAAAGGATTCATGAAAATAGTTTTCTTACATTTAAAACAAGAAGGAAAAACTGAACTTTTAGGTCAAGAAATTATTATTTAGTATTAATATGCTCATTTTTGCCCCAATACAGTTGTAAAGTATGATTTTTAATTGCTTAAGGGGGAAAGGGGCCCACAAAGGTAAAAGTCCTCAGGGCTTCAAAAGTTATAATGCAAAGTTGTAATACACACCTGGACAGCCAAATAAGAATCTGTAGAAATATCTCCATTTTTCTTGATGAATTATATACAACAATAAAACAATAACAAATAACAAATAATAACTAAAATGTCTATAATATTACCTATGGGCCAAATGTTGTTTTAAATGTTCTACAAAAATTATCTAATTCAATTGCTACAACAAGATTCTGAGGTAGGTAATATTACTATAGTTATCTTCATTTTACATAGTCTATGCCACTCTTTCACTTCTAGGCAAGATCATGGGAAATCTGCTTAGCAGATATTAGCATCTGCTTTTGAGCAATAAACATACATATTCTGTAACCACTGGCATTTTCCCCTCAGTAAACAAATGAAGTAGAATTTGTTATCAGGTAAATGTCGAATTTCTCCTGCCATATTTCTCAAAGTTATGTTTTTGATAAGTCGCCATCTAAAATCTTTAACAGGCCTTAAAGGTTTGCAGGGTTTTTTTTTCAGTCTTAATAAAATGCTAGATTCCTGCAGATTTATTTAATTCTGGAATTGCATACTTTTTTATAAATAAATACTATGAATATTGCCACATTGTTGGGCCTGGTTGCATGGCAGCCTAGTTTCTTTTGAGGAATAATATATTGTAACTTCCACAAAATATACGAAAATTTTATTATTTCAATGATATTTGAACTTTTTCAACTTAAGAATTGTGCTTGAGTTGTGAGCTTAAAGGAGGCATTTGTGTGAGCTAAGATTCAAACAGAAAATATAAGTTAAATCTTCCTTAAAATAATTAACAAGAATGAAAAAATACTTTTCCTGACATCGTTTTGTGCATCACCCCTATAATACCTTCCTAAGAGAACATAGAGAATTGAAAGAGGTAACCATATGATAACTTTTTTCCAAAATGCGTGTTTTCTGGAATCATATGTATGATTTCAATATCCCTGCATTATATGTTTCATTTCTATATTTTTAGTTTACTTGTTAGAAAATGGAACACCAAGCTACAGACACATTAATATTTTAACATGTTACTGTGAGATCCTATCATCTACATTATATATTTACATGTACATCATATGATATAAAGATCTTTACCTAGTTAATTCATCCACAATAATCAATATCAGTAGTGAAGACTCCCTAAAAGTTCAAACCAGTTATGTAATTACTTATCTAGTTACATTATTACTTTTATAGAATAAGTGAATTATTTGCATGAACTATGCACTTTAAGATTTTTTGTTTGTTTGTTGTTGTTGTTTGAGACAGTCTCACTCTTTTGCCCAGGCTGGAGTGCAGTGTTGTGATCTCAGCTCACTGCAACGTACGCCTCTGAGGCTCAGGCGATCCTTGGACCTCAGCCTTCCAAATACTGGAGACTAGCGGTGTGCACCACCAGGCCTGGCTAATTTCTCTGTATTTTTTGACGGGGACGGGGAGGTGGTAGTTTGCCATGTTGCCCACACTAGCCTCAAACTCTTGAGCTAAAGCCATCCTCCTGCCTTGGCCTCCCAGAGTGCTGCGATTACAGGCATAAGCCACTGTGCCTGGCCAGTATTATTAAATAACACATTAAACACACTATTAAAAGGGTGTCTGAACGATGTTTTATATATGGTTAAAATGTTGGAATTTAAAAGAGTGATATACAAACAACTTATTTATTTCATTTGTGTCACAATATAAAATTCTTCTTGTTAGGACTTGTGTACAAACTGTATTTAAAAACATATTTCTGAAAGAGGAATTTTTCAGTGGTCTTATCTGGACTACCTTTCAACCTGTACCTATCTTAGGACCAAAGCCAGATTTTCAGAATGAATCACTAATTCAGTGAACTTGAGTAGATTTTAGAGATTACCTGTCTAATGCTCTCATTTTATATATGGACAAAATGAAATATATAAATGTGAAATGATCTCTACAAGGTCACACAACATTTAGAGACAGAGATGGAACTAAAAGCAAAATATTAGAACCTCAGTTTCATCCCTATCCTTTACACTTCACTTTGTTACCTGTACTACATTATACAATTCAAAGTTCTATTGCTAATAAATTTTACTTTGTTTGGCAGACAGTTGTTATAAAAAAAAAGGTGAGAGATGGATATTACAAGTCAAAATGACTAGAAAAACTGTCTTGTCAGTAACATTTCCATAGATTACAGAAAAGAAAGGTGAAATAATTACTTTATGAAGAGAGACACTGCAGAATTTGAGAAAGAGTAGATTATGAGTTTTGTTTCTAGAGATACACAACCAAAGTTACCTATAATTGTGAAAGTGGTCTGTGTCTACATATTATGAAACAACAAATTGGCTATCTTTGGCCATAGAAGTACAGAAATGTATTTTCAGACAGAGCTATTATTTCTCTTTTTTGAAAGAAGAGATCTAAGAAGTTAAAGATAAAATCATTAAATACCTGTCTTTGAAAAACTGTATAGCATATATGCTTTCTCCTAAAGTATCATCTTAAATCATGTTTAGCCTCCAAAGTAATATTTAGAAAATAAGTTAGTTTATCCTCAATATTCTGCCAAAGACAAAATTTTTACTTCAGCAGGATTTGGGGAAGTGCATTTCCCAACTTCATGCTCTCTTTGGACATTCCAACATTTAAAACTATTCTCAAGAATGTTCATCCAGAGCAGCAGAAGACAAATTAAATCTTTGCTCTCCTAATCATCCTTATGTGGGTGAAAGAGAGAATGTATCTCTCTACTCTCATTCTGAATGTGTATACATATCTTTCTTCTGTTTGTCAATGTATCCTTTAAAATAATGACAGCACAAGTGAATAACAGGAAAATATTGAACTGACCAACAAAAAGCACAGTGGGATCTTTTTCCTTCTCTTCTGGCTGTGGGGAGTGTTAAATATCATAACACATGTACAACATTTAGCCACGTGACCAGCATAGAGTTAGTGCTCAATTACTGTTGTTATTAATTGTGCTTGCAATGGTGCCTTTAGTTGCATTATTGAAGCTTTTGACAGAGAGTGTCAAAAATTATTCTGAAACAACTAGACCAAATTATACTTGTACCAGCAATGAACGAGAATGCCTGTTAGTATGGTAGGATAAGATCTTCAGGGCCAATCTGTCACTACCACATCAGCATAAATGTCACTGCTCCCCAGGGCTTTTGGATTTTGTTCTTTTTTAGCATGTCTTATATGTGAAGAAGTAGAGAGCACATCTATTTAATCATTGCAAACATATACCTAATAATGATTCTAACAAATATATAGGAAGGGGAAGTTCGGTATTTTGAAACTAAAGAATATACAGCACACAGAATATGTAATGACCTTTGGAAAGATGGTTTCTGAGACAATTTTCTTAACAATGTAAAGACCAAACTGAATTACATAAGATTTTTCTTGGTGAGACTGCATATTGATGGAGACCTATAACACAATCCTCAATGTGTGGCCTCCATGCCGGCAGCATTGGCATCAATCACCTGGGAACTTGTTAGAAATGCTTACTAACATGCCCCACACCAGATAGACTGCATCAAAAATGGTGGGTGGGGCTCATCAATCTTCGTTTTAACGTGTACTCCAGCTTATTCTGATGCCAGTTAAGGTTAAAAAGCACTGAAATACAAATTAGCAACTCTCTCTCTTTCTCCTTCCATATTTCTCTTCTTTCCTCTTTTTCACAATCTCTTTCTACATCTTTACTTCTCTCTCTATTCCTCCCTTTCTGTTCCTCCTTTCTTCTTTGCGAATTGGTGGTTGAAACTAGCCATTGCACTGTTGTTAAATTAGAGAAGTCGCCTAATTTGACCTAAGTATTCTGGTGATTCCTAAGAGAGCCTGGGCAGGCGATAGGAATACTTGTCTCTTCATCTCCAGCTCGGCATTGTTTTCACTGCACCGAGTCTGCTAATACGTTGAAATGCTCTTGAAGAAACCTTCTTCTATTGTCAATATTATTGTCCTTGGAGACATTGTCTCTCTGAATATAATAGAATTTCAAAGCTTACTGATTTAATCTTTCATGCTTCAAATCCAGACACTGTTCTATTCTAGGTGAAAGATTGCTATTTCTTTATTATTAAAGGAAGAATTGTGTCTTCCTAGCTATAATTAGTTATATCAGCCTTCACATCAAAAGGGTAGTAATTTTCTGAGCCAGAGCTTTGCAAAGTAGCAAGAAAATAATTTTACAAGTGTCTTTTTCAAGAGCATGAAAATTATGAGGCTGTAGGTTCAAACTGTTCTGTTGAAAATGTGCCCAAGTTTAACCAGACATAAATTCATATTTTACTTTTTTCTTGTGGGCCTAGCTATGTTGCTATGACATTTTATCTCACCTGAAGTCTCCATGAAGAGATGGCTAGATGTAAGGTAAAGTAAAAAAGGAGACAACCTGCAATAAAATTAAGTAGGTGACATATCTTCAACCGAGAGACAATGAGGGATTTTTTCCCGTAAGTCTTAATGAAGCAATGATAAAGCCTTACTTGTTTTGTCTGTTTACTTTTGCTTCCCATTCAGTTTCCCTTATTCTCAAACACATCTTTTAAATGTGTCTTTCAAAGCACATTGCTATTTGCATTTTACATTTTCCTATTCAAAATCCTCAGTGGCTTTGCAAGGGTCTACAGATTCCTTTCTTTTCCCAACCCTCCCAAGTATTTCTTCCTGGATTTCAAGCTTTAAGTGGTACTTCTCTGCAAATTGAATCCAAATGTGTCTGTCCCAAGCATAGGCCAGGTTTTCCCAGAGGTATTATGTAGAATTACAGTATTTATAAACTCTTAGCAACAGACTTCATTATTGCTGACTGAACTTTGATTTGGTGAGCAAGTTCTCAACATGCTGATTTTGAATCCATTTTAAGGGTCCAAACCCTTGTGACAATGCAGTGTATGAGACTCCTCAGACTTACCTGGCTTCACCTTTGGCAAGTTTCCTAACATCTATGAGAATGGTACTAATCTTCAAGTGGGGATAAATGGCTTTACAGTAGAATTGTTTGAAAATTTGTTCAGATAACATAGGTAAAATGGCTAGCATAGAGTGGACATACAGTCAGTTGTAGCTGTGACTGTTTCCTGCATTCAAGACTTTCTCTAGCTGGATCCTCCACCAAGAATTTTGTGTCTCTTACCTTATCATCAGAAATCCTATATTGCCTTGACATTGTGGTATATATCTCAATCCCACCTCCTCCGTAAAACAGCACTTAATTAGACATAGCCATACAAAGTTTTTAGATCTTTTATGACCATATTTCTCTTTATTTATTAGTAATCAACTTTATTTCTTTCTCAAACTCAACCTTGATTTTTTTCTTTAAAACTGATATTTTTGAACAATGGTTTAGACTTTGTTTTGAGCTCCTTGTGGTACTTTGTTTAAAACAATTCAATAATGAATTAAATGAAGCTTTAATTTTTTAAAAAATAGACAAAACAGCAAAGTTTAGATGGCAGTGAAACAAAACAAGTTGGAATACCCCAAAAATGATTCTGGTCACACTGATTATGCAAATAGTTTAATATAAATAATTAGTGATATTTCTTCTTACCATTATAAAAAAAGATATGTTTGCAAAAATATCTCTAATTTTATAAAGCCATATTCAAAATCGACTAATAATTATCATATTCCTCAAAAACTTTCTCTATGAAACTCCATGTTTATGTGTGTATATAGAGCTTTTTCAAATATTGACTTCTATACCGTTATCATATTTCTCTTGAGCATTCTCTAACTGCATTTAATACAATTGAATATTTTTTTTAAAATTCAAGAGAATATTATTAGTTCATAAATGATATTCAGTATCAAAATTAGTGAAACACAGATATAGTGACTATCCACAGAGTATTGGACTATGGTCTGTCATACAGATTGTGAACCCAAGCAGCTCTTCTGCCCTGACTCTGGCAAAAGATAAGATATTTATTCTTTGAGGAAATTAAACTGCATTTTAAATTGTAAAAAAGAAAGATTATTCAGGCCTAAATAGCCTTAGGTCACTCTAAGGTTTTGATTAATGTAAAAGTTTATTCATACGTTTGCTTTTAAAATTTATGCTGTGTTAGATTACAAGTAGATTTTCATGTCTAATATAATATTTTCCCCAATCTACAATTTTTTTCCAAACTCTGATGTCATTTTTTTCTATCTAATAGACACAAACCCCTTTGTTTAACTTCATTTTTATGTAGAGAAAAAAAAACCTTCACATCAAATAAGGGGAATAATAACTAGTATTTTTCTAGTATTTATTTATTTTTTCAGTGAGGGGAATTTTCAGCATAAAGTGAAATTTTTTAGAAAATAGCAAATGAGAGCTTTTTTGATGCTGTTTTACAAGGTGGTAAAAGTATACAAATTTGGGGACAGTGATATACCTACCTGTGACTAGCTTACAGGTTTTCTGAAACTTGTACAAAATATTTTGAACATAGTGTATTCACAGTGTTGTGAAAATTGGTTAAGAACTACAGCAAGCAAGATGCCTTTCTCTTCTTGAAAATAATTCCAAGAACTGGAAGTTCCATATCCATCTCATTTCTGAAATGAGACCGTCTTCTCAGTAATAGAACAGTGTTCAACAAGTAAAGTGTTTAGATGTGCCTGTGTGGTCAGATGTATGTTGTATCACAGCATGCATTACTCATGTTGCATATTCTATTCAGAAAGCATGCCTCAGCCATCTGAGTGGAACATATCAACGTGTAAAATTGGAATTACTCTTTAGAACTGAAGCAAGCTTTAATAGTTGCTGCACAAGCTTCTGAGACTAGACACCGTGAATATTCTCTGGGCTATTTCATTAACAAATTGTATCTCTGCAGCCTGCATTTCTCTACATATTTATTGAACAGATAATAGGAAATAACTGCTTTTTTGTGAAGTCGTAAATAATATGGCAGAAGGATATTAAACCCACTGAGATGTGACAGAAGAACTAAAGCTTGTGGGTTTTAGAATTTTATGATACAAGCCTTTTTTTGTTCCATGAGTACATGTAGAGTAAACAGATATATTTGAATTGTTTATGTGGACAATTATAAATTTGACATTGCAGCTGCTGAAATGAGACTATCTCAAACCCAGAACTCTTTCGTGTACTTTTTACTGAAATACCACTTACTGAAGGGCTTTACTAAAGAGGGAGAGAGAGAAAAAAAATCTCTCTTAGCCATATCCATAGTGCAGCTTCAAATGACGCAAAACCTTTTATGATTATAAAGGTAGTTTTATGGCCATGCTTCTCATAATCACTGTATGGCTCCTATAAAGGTCATAGGAGGGCCCTGGTTTTTCTAGTCTAACATAGCTTTATCCTGTTTACTGAAATAGTTCCAAGCAGTGCCATGCCGAGATGATACATTACCATTCTTACTGTTATCAGCATGAGAGCTCTTTCAGTTTGTCTTTTGAGAACTTAGCCGGATTTTACAATTATTTTTAACAGTAAGTGAAGAAAAACTCAAATAGAGATAAAATCACAGAGTTAAGGTTTCAAGTGGCCTAGGCATTGTACTTGTTTCTTTATTATCACAAACAATTGCCTTGAATTATATTGGTCCATACAATTTGTTGACTCAAATGTTGTTTTCAGTTGTTACTGATTAGAGATACATGCCCTGGATATAATCATTTTGGTTTTCTCATTAAAAAGTCATATTGGTCTTGTTCAAATAAGTGTGGGACAGGAGAAAACTGCCTTGTAGGTGGGTATATCTAAAATAAATTTTGTCCATGGCCAATTATCAGCTGTGTAAATGATAAGTTGTTTAACTTCTCTGAGACTTAGTTTCTTCACCTGAATAAAGCAAATAAAGGATTCTTGTTTAACAAATTAACTTGAACACATCTCTACCCCCTTTCTGAGTTTCTTATTAAACTAAAAGCAAATGAATTTTGAACTGTACAAACCTACAAGGAAAAAGAGACTTAGGGACAGAAGATAACAGCAAATGAATGTTTATTATAAGATTTTTAAGAAATGGCCTGGGAAATATATGGGCAGTGGCAAATGACTCAGTGGATTAGAAAAGCCAAGAAGACCTAAGTGCTTTTTACAAGGAACACAAAACAGGACACCAAAGGCTCAATAAGTGGAGATATTTGGTATTTTGGAAGACATGAGTGGGTAATGACTTAAAGGTCGTTATAGGGAAGAGCTAGACCTTGCGATCCCACTGACTCACCTCTGCATCCACGCAATCGCTCTTCGCAGATTCTGGCAAAAGTTAAGATGTTTATTCTTTGGGAAAATCCAAGAAAACCTTTGAAGGAAGAGAACAGAGGTGACGCACCATACTGAAAATAAGAGTATTTACAGAAGGCATACTTAATATTTTGTGTGTGACTGGATGTATCTCTAGAATAAAAGAAAGCAATGTGCATGAGAATGAGTTTCTCTGGTAAATAGTTTAAATATAATAGAAAACATATATATATATATATATATATACACACACACACACACACACACACACACATATGTATGTATATATATTTAATTTAGTTGAAAACACACCCCCCACAGACACACACACACACACATATATATAATTCTGACACAGATCATTATATGCCAGCTGTGTTCTAAGTATCTCACAAATATTAACTCATATAATCCCCAATATCACCTTATAAGGTGGTGTTATTTACTTCTATCTTATGGACTTCTATCTTCAGATATCTTATGTTATGGACTTCTCTCTTCAGATTCACTTAACCCTTCTAATCCAATCTCTGATCTTGTCACTGTCTAGTTAAAAACTAGTCCCTAAAAACTCTCTGTATACAATAAAACTGAAACTTTAAATTTTGGCATACATGATCCTTCATTGTCTACAAACCAGTCACAGGGAATTTCTTTTCATGGGCCAAAGTCTGTCATAATGATTTGCCTTTACACACACTGTTCCTTCTAGCTTTTACTCTTTGAAATCTTGTGTACTTCACAGGTTTTTACTGTGTCTCCAAATCTCAGTTTTTACTTCTTCTTTGATTCCTTTCCTGACTCCCTCAAGAGGGAACACTGAGTACTTTACTTCCATGCTTGCAGAACACCTCAGACATGTCCCTATGATAGCACTGATGGCACTATCACTGTACTCCTGAGAGAGGGGATGGGACGGAGGAAAAGATAGAATCACGTTAGTAACACACAATGTTAATTTTATAATGAAATGCTTTAAAAATATGTAAATAAAGGATAAATGTTCTATTAAAAACTAAGTTACTTGTGTTAGTCTAAAATTGCAAAAATTATAGGATAATATGAACAAATACAATCATACAACTGGTAATTATATTTCAGTTAGTAGCACACCATATGTTATTTACAGAATCTAACGACAATGAAGAACAATTTAACTTGATTTATCCTCCATTATATTTTTCTTTAAAAGAATTTTTTTTCTTTTATTAAGATAATTGGCATCTGTCAACTATAATTTGCAAAATACTTATATAAATGTCTGGCTCACAACATGCAGAATAATATATTCAGAAGATTGAGTCTGTTTCTGTGCCTTTATTTCATACTATAGAATCAATTTGGTAAATATAATTGTGTTTAATGTGATTAAAGAAAAACTAATGTGGATTATAGAAAGCTATATAGACTGGTCGTGGTGGCTCACGGTTGTGGTGGCTCACGTGGTGGCTCATCCCAGCACTTTGGGAGGCTGAGGCAGGCAGATCACTTGAGGCCAGGAGTTTGAGACCAGCCTGGCCAACATGGTGAAACCCCATCTGTACTAAAAATACAAAATTAACTTGGCGTGGTGGTGCATGCCTGTAATCCCAGCCACTCAGGAAGCTGAGGCACAGGAATCACTTGTACCTGGGAGTTGGAGGTTGCAGTGAGCTGAGATTGCCCCACTGCACTCCAGCCTGGGCAACAGAGGGAGACTCTGTCCAAAAAAAAAAAAAAAAGAAAGAAAGAAAAGAAAACTCTGTATTACATATATTGCTTGTATTTTTATGTATGCATACATGTATGTATGTATATACATGTATATGTGTGTATATATAATAGTGAAGTATATATTACAGTTTATATTTTGTTAAGTTGGCAAATATCTTAGATTGTGTTCTCATTTTCATGACATATACGGTTTGTTTCCTTTTCTATATTTAGGTTCCTGATTAACAGAGTGTAGACATATGCTGCATCTTCCTATTAGCAAAACTGTGCTCTTTAAGGATTTTTGCTGACATAAGCAGAATTTTTGTGGCATCTTAATAAAAATGCTATTTTAAAGGAGGTATTTTGCACAGTTTTGTAAATAATTATCCAAATTGCCTTTGTTATAAAAATCAGAAAAGAAGAATAGAAATAGTTTAAACATTTGCCAACACTTTTCATTACAATGATAGTAAGAATTTTAATTATAGAGGCAATTGGGATAGAATAGGACATTGAGGAAATAGCATTAATCTGAGGAAGACTGGGAGTGAGCCCAGAGTTTGCAAAATGCCTCCTTTTAATAAAAGCAATGACTAATATTTATTAACCACAACATTACAGTAACTATTCTGAATGGATTTTCTCCTTTTTTAACTTCTATTTTAAGTTCAGGGGTACGTGTGCTGGTTTGTTACATAGGTATACTTATGTCATGGGGGTTTCTTGCACAGATTGTTTCATCATCCAGGTATTAAGCCTAGTACTCATTAGTTATTTTTTCTGATCTTCCTCCCCCACCCTCTACCCTCCAAAAGGCCCCAGTGTGTGGTGTTTCCCTCTATGTGTCCATGTTTTCTCATCATTTAGCTTCCACTTATAAGTGAGAACATGCTGTATTTGTTTTCTGTTCCTGTGTTAGTTTGCTAAGGATAATGGCCTCTAGCTCCATCCATGTCCCTGCAAAGGACATGGTCTCAATTTTTTTCTTTTATATTTTGAGATGGAGTTTAGCTCTTGTTCCCTAGACTGGAGTGCAATGGCACAATCTCGGCTCACCACAACCTCCACCTCCTGGGTTCAAACAATTCTCCTGCCTCAGCCTCATGAGTAGCTGGGATAACAGGCATGCAACATCATGCCTGGCTAATTTTGTATTTTTAATAGAGATGGGGGACTTTCTCCATGTTGGTCAGCCTGGTCTCAAACTCCTGACCTCAGATGATCTGCCCACTTCGGCCTCCCAAAATGCTGGGATTACAGGCATGAGCCACTGTGCCTGGCCCTTAGGTATTTTTTTTTAAATGACCGCGTAGTATTCCATGGTGTATATGCACCACATTCTCTTTATCCAGTGTGTCATTATTGATGGGCATTTAGGTTGATTTTATGTCTTTATTATTGTGAGTAGTGTTGCAATGAACATGCACATACATGTGTTTTTATAACAGAAAGATTTATATTCCTTTGAGTATATACCCAGTAATGCGATTGCTGGGTCAAACGATATACAACAGGTAATTTTTAGCCACATTTTATAAGAAAAGCAAACTGACTCAGAATTGGAAAGTATTTACTGAGTTCATGCAGCTAGCGAGTGATTTGTAGAAGATATCTGGAAAGGATATTTGATTCAGATTTTGATCTTTCTAAATTGACATTCATGGCTATGGCGACAAAAATTCATACATTCAGCCTCAAAGAATTACTTGAATTCTTCACTATTTTTCCCAGGTGTTGTTCACGGCCTAACTCCTTCAGTAATAGTTCTAGCTTAGCCTTGAGTGAGTGAGCATAAAGAGGCATTATCATCCATGACATTACAGAAGGTAACACTCAGATACATAGATATTGGTAGTCCTAGAAATAATAGCCACAAAATAAGTTGGATTTGGAGATACAGGTGGATTAATGGGTAGTTGGCCTACTGTTCACCAACTATTTTAAGATCAAAAAGGAAAACTTGTGACTTTTTTTAAAAAAAAGACTGATGACATCCTTCCCAACATTTGTTGCAGATCTGACTTCTAGCTCTGACAGCATTACCCATTCTAGAAGCATCTCTAATGTGACAGTTTAACCACTGTGAGTGCTTTTCCATTGCAGGAATCCGATGATGTGGATTTACGTAGGGAGTCTGTTGATCCACTTGGAACTTTATTAACCCCATGGCGCCCATGGGGCCAAACATTGTCTGCTCTATTTCACACTTTCATTTTTCTTTGTGATCTCATGAAATTTTCTTTATCTGGCTTGCCATAAAAGTTGTATTGAAACATATTTAGATAAGAGATGCTTGTGGTATGGAAATTTAGGTTGCTAATACTGACTGGGAAATTTATCTTAAACAAATTGATTGATAAAGATAGTTGTTCATCTTATTATCATAATAGATAAAATATTTCTATTGTATATGTATATAAATGTATGCATGACAATTAAATAGATAATAGGCAGCTTGTTTCATTATAAAGGTAAAGACATTTTGGGAAGGAAAGCCTTTGTTATTCAATTTTTTTGTGAAAAGAAATATTATTAAAATTTTAAAACTACATTGTGATAATTTTAAACATAGAAAGCATAGTTATAGTTGACTTAAACCCGATTTTCCATGTCTCCCTCTTTCCTTTCAGTTAGTAGCAGAAAGATCTGAATGGCAAGGATGGAATGACGCCTTGAAGTAGTAGCAGCTGGGGCTGTGTTGAGTGCCATAGGCTGCCTTGTTGGTAGTTTCCAAATTACTTCTAGTTCTGTCTCTGCTGGTAGAATACTGAAGCATTGCTCTTCTTTAGAAAACTCTGCTCAAGATGTCTCCTGGGATTTTTTTTTTTTTTTTTGTAGATTTAAAGAACAGTATCCTTCTTTGGAAACATGCAATATTTTTAGAATCCTGTGATATTCTACTGTAAGACATAAGCCAACAGTTTATACATCCCTGTCCAGGAAGTTGAATAATAAGTAATCCTGGGAATTTAAACCTCTATTTTAAACCTTTGTAAGGACACTTTTATTTCTTCAGTATAAATACAAAAAAGAAAAAAAAGCCAACATCATCTGAGCTTCTACTTGCTTCAAAAAGAGTTCTATACTAGGGTTTAAAAAATCAACAAATACAGTAAGGACACTTTTATTTCTTCAGTGTAAATACAAAAAAAAAAAAGCCAACATCATTTGAGCTTCTACTTGCTTCAAAAAGAGTCCTATACTAGGGTTTAAAAAATCAACAAATACAGGAGGAAAGAGAAATATTCAGATTCAGTGAATTTATTTCTTTTTGAAATTACTTTTGTACAAAATGTATAGGAAATATGTTTATTTTCAAAATGCATTGAACCCGGGAGGTGGAGCTTGCAGTGAGCCGAGATCGCACCACTGCACCCCAGCCTGGGTGACAGAGCAAGACTCCATCTCAAAAAAAAAAAAAAATGCATTTTTTTGGTTAGATTAAGGCAAAGAGAAAAGATAATATGGTTCTCTTTTTTTCCCTAACTCTAGGTTAAAAGACTAATTAGTAAAATTGATAATGTATGGACAGTGTGGGAGAATAAATGTGTAATCAAATTAGTGCTTAGTAATAATTTGGCATTTCATACATTTTATTGTGTTTATACCATGTTACCATAAAGAATAAATTATAAATCATATTTTATGCACAGATAAACAGACTTTAGAGGCTTAACTGGTCATTCATACAGCTAATATATGTCAGGGCCCGTATAAGCGATGGATCTGTATACAACATAAAGGTTGCCTGAATGATTACAAATTTGTTGTCTCTATAGTATAATATTACAATGCAAAGCAGTGAATAATGGTAGTCCATTGTCAAGATAAAGGTTATGTAACTTGAAATCTATAGTAGTCTCTACATAGATGTGGATGAATCCACATTGAATATGAAAGTATACAAAATGTTATTTAAAAAAATTTAGTATGTTAAATTTCATCTCCTCATTAGCTGTTATACCTTGCAAGCTTAAGTCACAGAGCTCTTTCTTTACTGAAATAATGCATGTTATCACCACTGAAACTTTTTTTTTTAAAAGAAAGCATGCACAGCACACACATGCACACATACACACACATCTATGGAAGATATAAAAAGTACAATTGTTGAAAGATATATGGAAGTAAATTATCAATTTACCAACTGATTACAGCTTAGTTCAACTTAAATTGCTTTGTAAAGGGAAAAAAAAGCATCTATTAATATGATTTATTTCAGATCCATGCAAGCTTGAAAGAATCGAATCTCTCTGAGCATTTCATTAGGGTTCCTGCTGTCTTCCACGTTCCCCACCACCATTCATTGACAGGCTTAACTCTCAACCACAAAGGGAGAGTTTGAACAGACCCAAGAGTTTTCTGTGGGAATTTGTGCATCTGTGGGAAACAGTACTTGACTTCATATTTACTAAACTTGAATCTGAAAAATCCTTTTTCTACATAGCATGGATGCTTCTCAGTGTCTCTAGGCGGTTAAGCCCTAAGGGTATCTTTAGGGTAACACAGTGGAACCGGAAACAATGTAAACCTTGAATTTTCCACAGGAAAGCAAAGGGCTAAGGATCAGAATGACACCTACATTGTATACTTCTCCAGTGAATCTCGGTGTCGATTATTTTGCCAGATACAGAAAATAACACACGTAGTGCCTATGAAATTTTCAACAAATTCTGGTGCCACCCTTATGGGATAGTCCCTAAAGCCCCCAGAAAGTCAGTCACTTGAAATAGTTCCCCTCTATCAGCATACTGTAAATTTCATAGTCATAAATCATTGTTGTCAATGTAGGGAAAGTCAAGCAGTGAGACACGAAATGTTTTGTGGTTTTTCCATAAGCAGTGTGTGTGTGTGTGTGTGTGTGTGTGTGTGTGTGTGTGTGTGTGTGTGTGTAATATTTGAGATTTTTAAGACATAGTGAGATGGACTAAAAATTTGATCCATTGAAAACTGATGAAAATTGAAGGTGATTGAATCTTTAGGTAACATTTCCAAAGGTGTTTGTGGATGTATCAGAATTCCAGATTTCTGGAGGGAGGAGGCACACATTGAAACATAAAGAAGGAAAGTATACAAAAACAAATTCATACATACCTTAAACATTCATTGATGGTGCTCAAAGTAGGAAAAGGTGGAAATATTTGTTTATTCCAAAAAACTAAATACATTCATGGTTCGTAATAGATCATAAAAAACTAAAATTTGGCGTTTATCTTCCATTTTAGAAACCTAAAAGAAAAAACTATACTCTTTTACATTTGCCTTAACATTTCTGTCAAGAGTTGGAAATCCAGGTGCTTCTGCTTTCTGTACTACTTTTCTTTGCGCCTATTAAAACTCCAATTTTGCTTTGAGAGAAAGAAGAATGATTCTACTTCTCAGAATATTTAGCTAGCTATGTGATGCAGAGGCAATTTTCAGATTTACATTCTTATCACTGCTTCTGTAAGCTCAATTATTTTAACAAGGTCTTTCCAATTTCCCCTAATGTTTTTCATAACTACCTTGAACTTACATTTAAATCAAAACTCATTTGTGAAATAACTCATTTCTCCTAGACTTTTGAAGCTTTCAGCATCACACGTGTAGGAAGTTACTGTTTCTATGTGTAAAAGTTTGGTATAAATGTTTCCTTTTTATTCCAATGGATTTATTAAGTGTTAGCCAAAGCCACTCATGTAAATTTTAGGTTTGCATTTTTATTAGTTTATTTGCAATTTGTGTTGACATATTGGCCACTTATTCTGATTACGATGAAAAAAGACTAAACTAAGCCTTTAAAACAGGTGTACTAGAAGTGTCCATGTGTAAATTTTTTCATTTGACCAAGAATGATATCTTTTTTTTGTTGTACTGAATTATTGTACTTTATGTGAAGGAAAAAAAATCAGATTGTGACATCCTAATTGCAGATAATTTTTTTTTTTTTTGGGACGAGGTCTCACTTCATCACCAGGCTGGAGTGTAGTGGTGCAATCTCAGCTCACAGCAACCTCTGCCTCCCGGGTTCAAGCGATTTTCCTGCCCCAGCCTCCAGAGTAGCTGGGACTATAGGCGCATTCAACGATGCCCAGCTGATTTTTTGTATTTTTAGTAGAGACTAGGTTTCACCCTGTCAGCCAGGATGGTCTTGATCTCCTGACCTCGTGATCCACCCACCTTGGCCTCCCAAAGTGCTGGGATTACAGGTGTGAGCCACCACGCCGGGCCCTAATTGCAGATAATTTTTATGAATCATTTATATATTCAACACTTTATTGAACAGAAGTATTATATATATCAAACTTCTTCAATAAACTGTTAGGAACACTTTGACCTGCTTTTATTATGAGTTGTAAATATTCTGAAAAAAACATCAAAATGATGGCATCAAATTCTCTAACATATGCATTAATTGTAAATTAGGTAATTTTTGTATTAATATTTCATTAACCTTTACAATATTTCAACCACTATGTATATATATGTATCATACCTAACTCATGTCAATTGTGTCTTTAATTATTAATTGTGTCTTTAATTATTACATTTAATTTTTACATTTTTCTCCAAAAAAGGAATGCATTTTTCTGTATTCAGTGTGAATTATGTATCTTTTACCAACAACATCTCATTCTAATTAAAAGTACCTATTACATTATTTAGTTCTAATATACCTTATTAGTTACTAGTTACCCAAAATTTAAGGATAGGTTTAGAATACTGCAAAGTACAACAAATTGGTTTTCATCCTTATACTTCATCCGCATTTGATTTGTGTAACTCTATGATATGGCTGAGATTGCAGTACATGGCTTCAGAAATTAAATTGTCTTTAGAGATTATTGCTTCTGTGCATGTGTAATTAAGTGTACTCATTATTGTCTATAAAGCCGTAAAACCCCACAGTTTTATGGGAAGAATATAAAGCCAATGATTTCAAATCAATCAGTTGGAGAGAATTCTGAGATGTTCCAACAATTAGTTTTGTGAAAAACTTTAAGATACACAATCTTCCTGCAGTCAGCCTAGATAGATAAAGTAGTAAAGGCTCTGCCATATTAATTAAACAAGCATTCATTAAGCACCTGCTGTGTATTTGCCACCATGTTCTCTAAGGTGTGAGGGTTGATGTCAGAGATGTCAGAGGGTTATGAAATGTTAGATTTGAAAAGAATTTTAGAGTAAATCTTGTCTAATTTTTATTCTTTATTGCTGAGACCTGGAAAATGCAAGTGGCTTCAGTTCTCACATCTAAAATTAGTATCAACACTAGAGTTAGAATGCACAAGAGAAAACAAAATTATATTGAGTGGACCTAAGAGTCAGAGTGGGTGTTGGGTTGACTACAAATAGTAAAGTGTAAACTGTACAAATTACATAGTGATGCCATAGGAAGCAAAGTCAAAGAATGATTACATATAAAATTTGATTTATATCACTAAGTCTAGATCATAATCCTAGGCTCTTTCAGAAATAATGTCAAATACTCTCATTGATTCTATATGAAAGGTGAATAGCATTCTCTGTGAATTGGGGCACTCATAATGACCAAAACTGTGCTGAATCAATACTTTTATAATACTTTAATAAATTATAACATCAGTCACAACACTTATGTGTTTGGCAACATATTTATTTGCTTTGATAGCATTGTTACTTGTTCATTTGGCCTGGAAAATTCCTTGAAATAACTCCATGGTGTTCTAAATCCAGAGATTGAGAACCAAATAAAATCTGATGAGAAAGTTTTTTCTTCAGTGGTGTGTTTAACATTTTAGTGCTTCAGGATTAACTTCCAGGTCTCATGTTATGAAGAAATACCAGGAACGAAATACTTTTTACCAATATAAACAAATGAAGTTCATATTGAATACTAGCATATCAGATTCAGAAGATGGCTTTTCACATGTTTGTACTGATCTTTGGAACAATGCATTAAACATTTAGAAACAAATAGAACATCATTCACTTGTTGGGTGAATAGGAAGATTAAACATAGCAATAGGAAGATTAAACAAACTAACCTTATGGTAAACTTCAAATATTGTAAAGATGATTTGTAGTTTAAAATATTCACTTATAATTTTGTTCTATTATCATCACTACAATTCAACAGATTTGCTCAGTTTTCCTTTCACCTATTACTTCTCACTCCTCTCCTTCCCTATCATAGTTTTACTACATGGAAGCATCAGAGCGTTTAATTTTATATTTTCTAAGCTGCGTTTCCTTCCCATTAAGCTAGCTAATAGAGATGACTCTATTATCTTTCTTCCTGAATGAACTCTAAGTTTGCTATTTGGTTTTTTTCTTATTTCCTCTAAAGCCTTCTAAAATAATCTCAGGCATCCCTCCAGAATCATTGTGGAGTAACAAGGGCATAGCTATGGAGGTACTTTTTATTTTTAATAGACAAGTAGAAAAAATTACACATTTTCAAACAAATATCAAGTAAAAAATGGGACACATACCTTGCATTTACTCTTCTATCACATATACTTTCTATATTAGAATAGACATTCTTATTAACATTAGGCACAGGCTCTGGGAATTGAAATTTATTCATACAGTAGATAATCTTTTAGACATATTGGTTATGAAAAGGAAGGAGAATTGGATACAGTAACCCAGAAGCAAGTTCTTTTTCTGCTTCTAAAGGCAGGTCAAAATAAATAACACTCTTGCCGATATATCTAAAACATACCATGTTTTTACCTCTTCTTCATTTAAGCCATTGAAACAACACAGTAATTTCAAACATTTCGGAATCATTTCAAAAATATTGTTAAGATAATTAGATAGCCAAGAAGATAAGTTGTGTCAAGAAACTAAAGATACAATTTAATGTAATTATGGTATTTTTTCCATTCTTAATATAAACATTTTGCCATCCATTTAACATAGTAGAAGCCATATAATCAATATTATATTTTATGTTTTTAATCTATATATTCTAATTAGTATCATGCTGCTTTTAAAGCCATGCAGTTTTTTGTTTTTTGTTCTTCTTTAACATGCAGAGTTTAGTTGGTTAGCATTGAATGGTAGAGAACGTATATTAGTTTAGGCCTATGAAAATGCAAAAGTGCAAGATTGTTATTAATTTGATTTAAATAAATACTGAAATTAAAATATATTGAGTCACTCAGTTTACCTGAGTGGTCCTGTTTCATCTTGCGCTTGTCAGTTGGTACCACTTGTACAATAACAAACATTGAAAAAAATTTGAATTGGGAGTATGTGCCAGACACTGGAGATACACAGAAATTGTGTAGGGAAGACAGGCACGTAATATAGTAATATAAGTATAATAATGGATTGTATAGAAGTACAGGGGTGTTACAAAGCAAATTATTATATCTGCAAAGGAGAGTTAAGGAAAGATTAACTTCTATAAGAAGTGTCACTTTGGTCTAGCCTAGTATAATGGATGTGACCCTACCATTGTCTAAGATTGGAATGGGCACCCAGGGACTAGCAGATGTGAAACCTGTAAGTGTGAGAATTTGGTATGTCTAAGGAATGGCAAGTGGTTCAGTGTGCGAAGCTTACAGTGCAGCCAGGGTGAAGAGATGAAGGTGGCAAATTAGGGAAAAGGCCTTTCCACTCTACAAAAGGACTTTCACTTTATCCTGTCAAAGACAGGGGATCACTAAGGAATTTCAAGACAAGAAGTAACAATGTAGCTGCACTTTGGAAAATTGATTGAAGCAGGGTTGACATTGAAAGCAGGAAAGTCAATTAAAAGTTTATTGTAGTGGTTTCAAAGGAAGAAAATGAGAGTGAAGATGTAGTAAAGAAGAGAGACACATTTAGAAAGCAAAAGCAAAGAACTAAGAGTCTAAGTGGAAATAGGATTTAGAGGAAGGGAGGTGATTGCTCTGTCGCTAACCTGGCTGATAGAGTCAGGGGTAGAACCATTAATCAAAATACAAAAATGCAGGAAGAGCAAGTTTATTGGAGAAGATAAGTTCACTGGGGGTATATTAAGGTTAAAGCGTCTGTGGAAATGTAAGCTTCCTGCAAGGAAATAGCTTATGAATGAGTGAAGAATTTTTCAGTGGGCTTTTGTTTCCAAGTTTCGAATCTAGGTCAGAAGTGAGTGTTTGACAGTGCCCAATTCATAGTACCTTCCCAGCATTAAATGCTAACCTTTTTTTCCTGTATGTATGCATTTGTAAATTAATCCATTCAAGATATTTTTGTAGATTTTTGCTATGTAGGCATTGTATATATATCAGTAAAGAACACAGCCTCAGCCCTCCACTATTTTAATTTAGTAGGAAATACTAAGAAGTAAACTAATAATCATAATAACTTGTGACAAGTGCAGATTTACTACATTCTCATATACAGTTACATCTATCTATGTTTTTTCTGTATTCATCTTTGGATTTTATTTTGTTTTGTTTTGTTTTTGTGTTGTTACATTGTTTAGGCATGTCTTGAACTCCTGACCTTAAGCAATCCTCCTGCCTCAGCCTCCCAAAGCTTCAGTGTTATAGGCATGAGCCACTGCTCCTGGCCCAGGATTATTTATTTGTTAGAAAGTTACAGATTTTTAACATAATTTGTCTAAGGGCTTTATATTTTTGGATATCAATATACTTTATTTAAAAATTTATTGTCCACTTATATTTGAATATTATTTTTTTTCTTGTTACTGAAACTATAAAAATGTGTTTATACTTTTAAAATATCTCATATTAGAGATTACAAAGGTGAAAGTACATTGCATTGTGCCTAGCATGGAATATACACACAAGCAACACTTTTTCTTCCATTTATTGACTTTGCTCTGGAGTCCTTTTCTTTACATATACTGCCTAATGTTCTTTTTATGTCCAACACGCTTGCTGTTCCATATTTCATGATTAAGTCTTTTATAAAAGAAACCAAATTTTGGGTATCTTTCTGTCCTCACCAACCTAATCACAGTTAATCATTTCTCAATAAGCATTTGTTGAATACTCCGTATAACATTCGGAAGATGCTAAAATACATAAAATATGTTCCAAGTGCAGTATGGAAGCTCAGAGAAGATGATGTTAATATTAATGAGAAAATATGAGTAGGAAATTCCCACAGAAATATCTACAAAAAATGATAAGGATATTGCAAGTAGAGAGAACAAGTTAATGATTCATAGGCATTAAATTATGTGTATTAAAAACAAAGTAAAAAATCACAAATACCTTTAAATTTAGAAAATAAAGAAAATTTAATATCAAGTAAATTAAATATTGATATGTCAGTAAAAAACCTTTTTTTAAAAAAAAGCATAATTAAAATCAATGGAGGAAATAAGATGTCCTAGTTCATAGCACTTTTCTATGTCAAATATAAGCTGCTTGGATTTAATAGGCATATAACATTTAGAAATATAATGTAAATCAGCAGCCACTTGTTCTATATTACTTTGCAGATGGGGAAACTGAGACTCACGGATATAAATTGCTTCACATAGGTAGAACATCCTCAGTGACAGGATAAAAACAAAACCTAACTCCCTTTCTTTGTCTACTGCTCTTTCTGCTAAACATCATTGACAGGTATAGCATAAGTTAAAGTTTATGGTGTTTTAAGGAATACAGTTCATAAAGCAAACAAAATTATTTCTAGTTATTTCTAATGTAACTTATGGTTGTGATTCTACAATTTTGTGTAGCTTGCATAATGAGATGTTATGCATATTTCAGATTTTTTTCATTTACAAAGGAAATATTTATTTTAATTTTGTCACTGGCATTGTCTAACATCTAAAAAGTCTCCATATCCTGTTCTCTGGGTGTTAACTCCGGTTAAGAATGAAAGATGGCACTCCTCTGTGTTAGCTAGTTATTAGCATTTTCTATGTCTTGAGTAAAACTCAGTAACTTTGTCTTTTGATAACAGAAAATCTGTCTGAATACACGGTGTTTAAGGGTTAGATCAATCAATTCTTTGTTTTTTATCTAGTGCCATTAAATTGAAAATTTTAAATTAGATTCTAGATATTACTAAAATGAATGCTTTAATTATAATTTTCTGATTTATAGTATAAAATAAATAGTTTTAAAACAAAGTCATTGATCAGCACAATGATGTTTTGTTTTTAAGTTCTGGGATACATGTGCAGAACGAGCAGGTTTGTTACATAGGTATACATGTGCTATGGTGGTTTGCTGCACCTATCAACCCATCATCTAGGTTTCAAGCCTCGCATGCATTAGGTATTTGCCCTAATACTCTCCCTTTCCTTACCTCCCACCCCCGACAGGCCCTGGTGTGTGATGTTCTCCTACCTGTGCCCTGTGTTCTCATTATTCAACTCCCACTTATGAGTGAGAACATGCGGTGTTTGGTTTTCTGTTCCTGTGTTAGTTTGGATTAGCACAATGGTTTTATTTATTTATTTTTTTATTATTATACTTTAAGTTTTAGGGTACATGAGCACAACGTGCAGGTTAGTTACATACGTATACATGTGCCAAGCTGGTGTGCTGCACCCACTAACTCGTCATCTAGCATTAGGTGTATCTCCCACTGCTATCCCTCCCCACTCCCCCCACCCCACAACAGTCCCCAGAGTGTGATGTTCCCCTTCCTGTGTCCATGTGATCTCATTGTTCAATTCCCACCTATGAGTGAGAATATGTGGTGTTTGGTTTTTTGTCCTTGCGATAGTTTACTGAGAATGATGATTTCCAATTTCATCCATGTCCCTACAAAGGACATGAACTCATCATTTTTTATGGCTGCATAGTATTCCATGGTGTATATGTGCCACATTTTCTTAATCCAGTCTATCATTGTTGGACATTTGGGTTGGTTCCAAGTCTTTGCTATTGTGAATAATGCTGCAATAAACATACGTGTGCATGTGTCTTTATAGCAGCATGATTTATAGTCCTTTGGGTATATACCCAGTAATGGGATGGCTGGGTCAAATGGTATTTCTAGTTCTAGATCCCTGAGGAATGGCCACACTGACTTCCACAATGGTTGAACTAGTTTACAGTCCCACCAACAGTGTAAAAGTGTTCCTATTTCTCCACATCCTCTCCAGCACCTGTTGTTTCCTGACTTTTTAATGATTGCCATTCTAACTGGTGTGAGATGGTATCTCATTGTGGTTTTGATTTGCATTTCTCTGATGGCCAGTGATGGTGAGCATTTTTTCCTGTGTTTTTTGGGTGCATAAATGTCTTCTTTTGAGAAGTGTCTGTTCATGTCCTTCACCCACTTTTTGATAGGGTTGTTTGTTTTTTTCTTGTAAATTTGTTTGAGTTCATTGTAGATTCTGGATATTAGCCCTTTGTCAGATGAGTAGGTTGCAAAAATTTTCTCCCATTTTGTAGGTTGCCTGTTCACTCTGATGGGAGTTTCTTTTGCTGTGCAGAAGCTCTTTAGTTTAATTAGATCCCATTTGTCAATTTTGGCTTTTGTTGCCATTGCTTTTGGTGTTTTAGACATGAAGTCCTTGCCCATGCCTATGTCCTGAATGGTAATGCCTAGGTTTTCTTCTAGGGTTTTTATGGTTTTAGGTCTAACGTTTAAGTCTTTAATCCATCTTGAATTGATTTTTGTATAAGGTGTAAGGAAGGGATCCAGTTTCAGCTTTCTACATAAGGCTAGCCAGTTTTCCCAGCACCATTTATTAAATAGGGAATCCTTTCCCCATTGCTTGTTTTTCTCAGGTTTGTCAAAGATCAGATAGTTGTAGATAAGCGGTGTTATTTCTGAGGGCTCTGTTCTGTTCCATTGATCTATAACTCTGTTTTGGTACCAGTACCATGCTGTTTTGGTTACTGTAGCCTTGTAGTATAATTTGAAGTCAGGTAGTGTGATGCCTCCAGCTTTGTTCTTTTGGCTTAGGATTGACTTGGCAATGAGGGCTCTTTTTTGGTTCCATATGAACTTTAAAGTAGTTTTTTCCAATTCTGTGAAGAAAGGCATTGGTAGCTTGATGGGGATGGCATTGAATCTGTAAATTACCTTGGGCAGTATGGCCATTTTCACGATATTGATTCTTCCTACCCATGAGCATGGAATGTTCTTCCATTTGTTTGTATCCTCTTTTATTTCCTTGAGCAGTGGTTTGTAGTTCTCCTTGAAGAGGTCCTTCACATCCCTTGTAAGTTGGATTCCTAGGTATTTTATTCTCTTTGAAGCAATTGTGAATGGGAGTTCACTCATGATTTGGCTCTCCGTTTGTCTGTTGTTGGTGTATAAGAATGCTTGTGATTTTTGCACATTGATTTTGTATCCTGAGAGTTTGCTGAAGTTGCTTATCAGCTTAAGGAGATTTTGGGCTAAGAGAATGGGGTTTTCTAGATATACAATCATGTCATCTGCAAACAGGGACAATTTGACTTCCTCTTTTCCTAATTGAATACCCTTTATTTCCTTCTCCTGCCTAATTGCCCTGGCCAGAACTTCCAACACTATGTTGAATAGGAGTGGTGAGAGAGGGCATCCCTGTCTTGTGCCAGTTTTCAAAGGGAATGCTTCCAGTTTTTGCCCATTCAGTATGATATTGGCTGTTGGTTTGTCATAGATAGCTCTTATTATTTTGAAATATGTCCCATCAATACCTAATTTATTGAGAGTTTTTAGCATGAAGAGTTGTTGAATTTTGTCAAAGGCCTTTTCTGCATCTATTGAGATAATCATGTGGTTTTTGTCTTTGGCTCTGTTTATATGCTGGATTACATTTATTGATTTGCGTATATTGAACCAGCCTTGCATCCCAGGGATGAAGCCCACTTGATCATGGTGGATAAGCTTTTTGATGTAGCACAATGGTTTTAATTAATAGGTGAAAATAATAACTTGGAAGAAAAACTGATAATATTTTAAAAATAGAACCAGCCATTTAAAAAAAGTGGTGTTGGTTTGAGTTGAGATTTTTGGAGTTTATGATCACTGAGGTGGCATTGATGGGTACTGCTATGTGGGGTCAAACTTGGGTCCTAAAGGAACCCTGTATTCACAGCAGGAGAAGAAAGCTGACATCAAAGGGAAAGCAGGAGAATAATAGTTCAATTACCAGTGAAATTAGGTACACTGGTTTTCAAAGTTTTTCTTAATTGTACAAATTGATTTTTTAAAGACATGAGCTTGATAAATGAGAAGTGGTTGGGCTCACATAAACATTTATAAATGAAAGTATTTTGGGGATCATTTTGTTTACTGAAGTTAATGTATTATTAAAATATCATTGTATAGAAATGTAAATACTTATATTGAGTAAATATAGAACAGTTTGTATATTAAATATGCACTTGATTGGGGAGGACTAATGACGAATGTACCTATGCAGATGTTGCCTACTCTTCCTTTGGGCTGCCTAGAAAGAGCACTCTGATAAATTCAATGTAACCTTTTTAATACAGTTTATTAATAAATGTTTTATTACTTTATGACAGAGAGTAGAGAAATGACACTCGTTTTAACTTTGTTCATTGACAGCTGGTAAACAAACAGGCAGACATTTCTGGCTTAATTACAAAAATAGAAAAGTGATTACAATAATATTCATAATAATCTATTTTTAAGTGACTTTTTCGATTACAACAATATGCATAGATGTGTGTAAACATTCATGCATATTTATAAAGTAAAATCAAGACTAATTGGTAGCTCATTGTTGAAGGGAAAATATATTCTATCTTGTCTTCAAAATAGAGAATTAGAAGAACACTTCAAGAAAGTTGTGCAGATAATTATATTCAGATTATATGAGAATATGGATACAAAATGATCAAAATAAATATTAATATTTTTCTTCCACATGTTCTGCAAATATGTATGGAAATATAAATATTTGTATTTGTTTGTCTTTATCTTTTGTCTTGCCTACAGGAAAGTAAACTGCAGGAAAGCAGCAATATGGTCTGCCTTGTTTACAGCAGCATAACCTTTACTGCTAACAGTGTCTAGACCTTGGGGATTGTTCAGTAAGCACTGATAGGTGAATGAATAATGTACTGAACTATCTAATAAGTGCAGAACAAAACAAATGTGATCTGTTGCCTTCATGTCTAATAGATCTGGTAGGGCTAGGATTTAAAAAATCAAATACATCAATAAATATTTATTTACAATTGTTAAGTGATGAGGAAAAATGCCATTTTTTTAGATTTGAATGTTACTTTTTGTTGACAATAAGTCTTTCTTACACGTTGTAATAAACTATGCAATCTACAAAGCTTACTATATTACTTAACTTTAGGATCAACAAGAGAAAAGATTTTAAACATGGACTCTATTTCTTTTCTGGCAATTTACATTCTAGAATTAAGAGTGTGAGTTTGAGTATAGTTACCCATGGTGACCTATTAGCATAAAAGGTCTTTAGAGACTGCAGATGGTATAACACAGGATGTACATTAAACCTTTCAGATGTAGATGTGCCAACATAAGTTTTCACACACAAACTTAGGAGGAAACTTAATTATTACTAAATTCAGAATGTGTTTGTAAATGTTTTTATCTCCACATTTATCTTAAACATTACTTAATAGAGACCAGTTAACATTTAGAATTCCACCTCCTTCCTACCTATATGAAGAGTGATTCTTCCAAACTGTAAATAGGAGTATTCATTATTTCAACACTATAGACAAAACCTTGCTAGAACCAATCCTGAATTGCAGCAACTAAAGAAATTTATGAATTAATAACACTATAGGAAATAGTTCTAATATGAGGTGCATAATATGCTATTTGACACATTTATAGCCTTCCTTGTATTTATTCAACTCTGTTTCATCAGGAAGGGATGGAAAATATGCAAACTCAGATCTTTGAAAGGAAGTACATTATAGTGCATATTGTCTAATCACTCTCACTGCAGAAGTTGCCTTTTTTTTTTTAGAAAGTTTTAAATATAACCTTCTTTTAAAAGCAAACTGTTCTTGGTCACTTAAAAGTTCTTGGGATTTATTTTTTAACTGAGTTACATGTAAAACTTTTTGAAAATATTTATTCTATAAGATGTTCCATGTTCTGCTGAGCCTTTTCTTCCTTAGTTGAGTTTGAGAACATGCCATAGCAACTATGTCCCTAAATCTGCAGATTCAATATTGTCTCAGATCACAATGAGCACCTATCAAGCTCTACAGCACATAATCACCTATGGAGAACTTTATCTTAATTTCTCTCAGTTACTTCCTGTCATTATTCTGCCTGCTACAGCCCTTGTATTTCATGATACAATGTCATGGCATTCCCAACTGGACCTGGTGGTGGTATTGTTCAATAGCTCAGTCTTTATTGATAGAGTTTCCATTGCTTAGTTCCATACAGAGCTCTTATGAGGTATTGTTATTGAAAGAGTTCCAGAGTGTTTAGGTAGGCAAATTCATTATTAATTTTTTACTTGATACTTGATAGTATTTATTGGATATTAACTTTGTGCTAGGCTCTGTGAATTATCTCATCTAGTTTTTAGAGAAAAACAGTTGGGGTTAGCATAAAAGTTCTTTAGAGATTACATTTTATTATCCTCATTTTATAGATGAGGATTCTGGCAGTTACAGAGTTAAAGTAACTTTCCAATGCCATTCAGCTAGTAAATATCAAAGTTGACAGTTTAACCAGGATAATCTCTTTCCCATGTAAGCATGCTTAAGGACTATACTATGAATAGATGATGATGATGTGTTACAATCTCAAGAGAAAGCATTTTATCTTAAATAATGAATGAGTGAGTGAATTAGTACATAAAATGTATATTAACACCAAAGAAAGGGAGGAAAAACTTATCAAAATATGGTGATAAATTTCTGATCTACAGGTAACTTATCTTTCATCTTTACATTTTCTTCTTATCTTCAAAATAGGGAAATCATTTTCTGAGCTCATGTATAAGAAACGTAGATTTTAAATGTACATTAGAAATTGTCTTAGTTATATATTCTTGATTGTGTAAATTATGCAAGTTAGCAGATGATATTTCAATAAACATATATTTAATAATGATGAAACTCAACTTTCAGTATTATTTAACAAATCATGTTTTTATCTCTCTAAAGTCATTTGGGAAATACCATAAAAATATCTTGCTATGAATTGTTCAATTGGTTACTTATTTGCCCTGTCTTAATTCAGTTTTAAATTCTCTTAATCTAGATAATGGGCAGCTACTGCAATCTACTGTCATGGAAATAAAATAACATTTTGTGGAAAGATGAAACTGAAAGATAATTAAAATATAACTAGCTTAGTCTTTTTTTTTTTTTTTTTGGAGATGGAGTTTCACTCTTCTTGCCCAGGCTGGAGTGCAATGGCATAATCTTGGGTCACTGCAACCTCCGCCTCCTGGATTCAAGTGATTCTCCTATCTCAGCCTCCCGAGTAGCTGGGATTACAGGTGCCCACCACCATGCCCAGCTAATTTTTTGTATTTTTAGTAGAGACAGGGTTTTACCATGTTGGCCAGGCTGGTCTCAAACTCCTGACCTCAAGTGATCCACTCGCCTTGGCCTCCCAATATGTAGCTTAGTATTTTTTTATACCCACTCATACCTTCTGAATCAGGACCTTAATATGAATTTTCCTTGCCACCTGAAAATTAAGTTAAATCTCCCAAATGTTTATTCTGATGCTATTTTTATTAAAATGATAAATTTAATACATTTTGAAGGAAAAAAACTGTTGCTTTTCCTAGTTGAAAATTGAGGAATTTTGTTCAATAAAATGAGGGCTAATATATCTTTTTCTGGTCATTTTGTCTTTTCTGAACTGACACTTGCTTCCTCAAGATTTTTTTGACAATGAGGGAACTATTCTTAGCTCCAGAATTTGCGGTGATTTGATAAAATTCTTTCAAACTACCCTTAAATTGGATATTTTAGGTACCAAATAGTTGAGTTAGTCTAGGCAGTGAAGGAAGTACTTTCTGCTATTATCCATATGATTAAGAGTTTTAAAGAGTGCAGTGAATTTCTTAATTTAGACAAATGTGGAGAATGCTTGCTGATTGTGCTGCAAATTTGTCCAGGACTCATGTTGTTTAATTATTCATGACTTTAAAAGTAGCATACATTACAATTTTGCATCTGTAGATTATTAATAGAATGCTCTTTTAATAGGATGTTCACCACTGAGAAGTGTTTGTCATTTGTTAGTTTGCTTTGTTTTGCTGTAAATAAAAAAAAGGTCTATAGAGGATGTATAGAATAATCAATCCAATGTCTAGATTGACACTACCTGGGTTGAAAACTCAGCTCCCCATTCACTAGATATGTGAACCTTAGGTAAGCTTCTTAAACTTTTTTTCTGTCAGTTTCTTCCTCTCTAAAATGAAGGTAGTAAAATACCTACTGTAGGTGAACGTAGTGAGGAAAAAAAATGAACTAATCTATCTTAAATACTCAAGTGCCTGGCGCATAATAAAAAAAGTAGGCTGGGCGTGGTGGCTCACGCCTGTAATCCCAGCACTTTGGGAGGCTGAAGCAGGTGAATCACCTGAGGTCAGGAGTTTAAGACCAGCCTGCCCAACATGGCAAAACCCTGTCTCTACTAAAAATACAAAAAATTAGATGGGCATGGTGGCAGGCACCTGTAATCCCAGCTACTTGGGAGGCTGAGGTAGGAGAATCGCTTGAACCTGGGAGGTGGAGGTTTCAGTGAGCTGAGATTGTGCCACTGCACTCCAGCCTGGGTGACAAGAGCAAAACTCTGTCTCAAAAAAAAAAAAAAAAAAAAAAAAAAGTTAGCTAACATTACTCTTCTCAATATAGTCCTTTTCATCAAACTCAAACAAAAGCTTCAGAAATAAGAAAAAGCACCAGAAGCTGTGGTACTTATATCCATTAGTCTATCAAAGGCAATGGATGGGTACCATTTTAGAATGAAAAATTATAGAATAATCTTGAAGGTGCAGAGCAATTAATATACGTAGATGTTTGGCTATTTTATTATTTTTTAATGCCACTGTTTCTAAAAATGCATGGTGCTTTCAAGACCTCAATAAGGACTTTAAAAATACCTTACAAACTATCAATGTTGTTAGTTATGTAAGATCCACAAAAACATCTAAATGAAATTAAAATGAGGAAGAAAAATATTTCCAACTGAAGATTGAAATAAAAGAAAATGAAGTTGAAAATGTTTTAAAGAAAATAGTTTTTGTGTGATTCTTTGTTCTTTCTTAATCATTGTGTAAGATTTCAAAACTATTATTTTCTTAGGTTTTGATATATTACATTCTGAAAGTTAATCAGTCATAATAGTATAAAACATTTGAGAATATGTTTTTCCAAACTTGTATTTTAACCATATGTTCCATTCCTTTTTCACTCTCATAATTAGAAAGATAGTCATGTTGCCCAGAACTTAAATTAAAAGAAAGAAAAAGAAAATCATTTTGAAGCAAATTAATAACTTTTGGTTAAAATTAATTATCTTTGTGATTTTAATTTGTAACAGAAAAGGATCAAGGTAAAGGCCCTTTGCTTTTCCTTTCTTCCTTATCTCTTTTTTTTGAAAAACAAATTCTTTTTAATTTTGATGTTTGTACATTTTTACCTAGGTAGTTTTTAAAATTATTTTATCCTTATCCTGGGATCCCAGAGATGCATTTTAATTACAAAAAAAGGAAAAAAGACAAAGAGTGAGAGAGAGAGAAAAGAACTTGTGCATGCATTATGTTTGAGGGAGGTATGAGAAAAGTAAATTTTGCTGGCATATACCATATTAGCAGAAACGATGAGATGATTGATTTTGTTTGTGTTAGTTTTCATAACCCCACAAGTAAGTGAAGAAATTAACAGTGATTATAAACTAATATCTATACTTTTAATTTATCTTCTAGAACAATATATGAAAAGTTGTCATATTAAAGGAAAAATGTCATCATAATGAATTACTTTGTGGCTAACTTGAAATTTCAAGTGAAAATCTCCAAAGAACTCTCAAAAATCACCCTGATGTTTGCTGCATATTGTGTCATATCCTAAGACTTTAAAATACCTTCATTTTATCCCATTATTTCTAGTCATAGGCTCCCCACTCTCCTTTTCTGTTTCTCTTTTAAAAATTTTATTTGTATTTTATTCTCCTGTTCGACTTTCAATTTATTCACTCCATTATCACCACCTCTTTGGAGAAGGGGATGTTGTAAAAGCCTTCTTCTACATTTTCCTCTTCCCTAGACTTTCGGTTGGCTTTAAAAATATCAGTATCTGTTCTCCCCTGCAACCTCATTCAATTGAAATTGATATCATTAATTATCTCCAATACCTATTACAATGGCATTAGTAGAATGTAAGTTAAGCAAATTAGCTTCTGAAACAGCTCTTGAATTCTTCTTACCAAATTACAATAATGATAACAATTATTACACCTTAAAAGACTAGATAAAGGCAAATATACACTTTTGGAATCATTTTAAAATGTTCATAACTTTCAGTCTATTATGAATTCCTATTGCAGTATTTCCAAATGTGAGTACCAAGGCAATATGCCATGTATATTTTATTCATGTTTTAAAATCAGTGATACATTTACAAACCAAGTTTGAAAGGACTAATTATGTCAAGTAACAAAAAGTAGGTAGATGTGGTTGACATCTCTTAGAATGTTCTTTATTAAATGTAAGAAACCCAAATGCAGTTAGATTTTCATTTAATCAAGCAGTGTTTTTAGTATAAATGAATGGCTATTGAAGCCTTTATAGCCTGTACGCTTTCTTAAATGCTTCGCTGAATGTTTAGCACTCTGGCATTCCAATTTGGAGCTTCTTTTAAAGGAGGCTTTCATAAAACTTTGGACAGAAACCTGCTCTAGAGGACCATATGGGTTATTGTACAAAAGAGAAACAAATTATAAAAGCTCATTGTTACTTGATTGCTTAACATTTTTCTCTTCTTTTTATAAAAACAAAAATTAGATTAATCAGTGACCTACTTTTGCTTATACAGCCCAGAGAGTCAACAATTTATATAAAGGTTTATATTTAAATTATTTTATAACAAGCAAAAAGAGACCTAGACAAGCCTTTTAAATTAAGCAAACTCTTATCCAAGATAATAGACTTATTTAACCCATTCAAAATCATTTCACCTTACATACAGTTTAAAATTATTTAGATCCATCTGCCCATCCAGAGCTGTTGTGAGTAGTCTTAAGAGTCTATGGTATCTTCTAGAATTTGTCTTCATGACATTCCATACAGCATTGTCTGATGATTGGAAGAATATGAGTCTGGAGAACAGAGATCTGGATCTCATTCTGTTTCAGTCACTTAGTTATCATGTTATTTGGTGTGTTAAGAAAATTGAGGCTTAGTAGGAACGAGTTATTTATAAAGGGGGTTCAAGTTATTCCTTATCTTCTTCACAGACTTATTGTAAGGAACAAATGAAATACTGTTTTCGAATTGCAAAGGGCTTACAAATATATGGGTTATCATACTAGAGATTAATTGATGTAATTATGTTCAAATGAGTTTTTGCTACTTGGCCTCATCTCACCCAGGGTTAGTTTCTCTTTACACTCAGGTTAGCCATCTTTCAGGTTGTTACTATCAATTACCAGAAGAAATAGAAAATATAACATGGACAGATTCTAAGAAATTCAACTCCATTTGTTCAAAAACAGCACAAACCTTACTCAAACCAGCAAACCCTGTTTATGATAAAGCACTTTCGGATTTTTGCTGTAATGACACAGTTCAAAGCGTAAGAAAAATTCAATAAAAATTTGTGGAAATGATTTTAATATAATAATTTCCAGAATACAGTGTGCTGATTGCATAAAATTTGACACTCTAAAATTTATTGATTTTATTATTATTATACTATTATTTTGATCAAAACAGATATTTTAGCTAGCCACTTCCATTCATAGCAACACTTTGGTTCTGGGTTCAATAGAGTTATCTATTAGCATTCATCAAAATAAATTATGGTTGCTCAGTATTACACTGTGGCATGGGTTTGTAGATAATCTTTCAGGGCTGGTTTCCAAAATATTTTTCAAACATCTTTCGGCACTTTAGATCTTAACAATATGTGACTACATTTTTTAAAAATATATTTTAACATGTCATGTGTATATAATCATTTTGATTTTCTGTGAATAAATTATAATCAGAATTTTGTATGCTATAGTATAAAGGCAGAAATAGAAATTGGGTTCTTGAGGTAATACCTTTGTTTATGATTTTTAAGCCAGTTTTATTTTTGTTTTCTGTTTCAATGGACAGCTCTGTAAGAGGAACATAAGAAAACCTGAGTGTGCTTAAAAAGGGTAACAGGGGTCTTGAATCCATGTCAAATGAACATTAAGAGGAGTAAAATAGTTATGGCTGTTTAGCCTAAATAGAATATTCAACTATCAAATAGAAGTGTTGAGATGTTTGGGTTGCCATTTCGAAGAGTGATTTTACTTATGTACGTATTAGAAAGGCTAGAACTAACACAACTCGATGATGGTTACAGGGACATTAACATCTCTTTAACAAAATGATGGATTTTCCAAAAATTTCAGTCTTATAACTTAGAATTGCTTTATTTTTCTAATAATTCTCATTTATTTGGGATAGATCCTCTATGTTTCTGCAGTAATGAATATGTCCTTACTAGAGTTGATAATTAACTGTCCCTGACTTGAAAGATACCTATTTCAGTCAAGGTCAGAAATAAAAATTACTTTCTCAGAACCTGCAGACAAACCACTTAGTAACACTCTGTAAAACCACACTTTCCGTATATGGGTGTTTGTTCTAACAGTCTAAGCATCATAGATGGTATGCCAAGGCTCCACAGAGGTCACATGGTTTTCAGTAGTGCCAAGGTGATATATATTTCACCTCATCTTAACATTCTAGTAGGGTTACTGTGTTCAGCAGTAGAAACAGTTTATTTGCATCACCCCCAGGACACACTGTGGTAAAATATAATGAGTCTTCTTAATATGTAAGCAATTCAGGCATAGGATTTAAATTGTATTACAGTAAACAGAGAAAAGTTAGCATTTTTTCCTTTTGCCAGTTCCTTCTTCTAGAATAGAATAATGTCATGGTTCAGTAATCCATTCTCCAACATGGATAGGACAAGCACCGGATGTGGAGATGACACCATGAAGAGTACAGCTTGACCATGTTAAGTCTGTCAAGTCTTACTCGCATCCCCACTGAAGAGGAAAAGGCTAGGAGAATAAAATTGAGTTTAAAAAGTAATCCTGGCTGGGCGTGATGGCTCACACCTGTAATCCCAGCACTTTGGGAGGCCAAGGTGGGTGAATTACCTGAGGTGAGGAGTTTGAGACCAGACTGCAACATGGTGAAACCCCGTCTCTACTAAAAATACAAAAATTAGCTGGGCGTGGTAGTGCATGCCTGTAGTCCTAGCTACTCTGGAAGCTGAGGCAGAAGAATCACTTGAACCCAGGAGGCAGAGGTTGCAGTGAGAATATGCCACTGCACTCCAGCCTGGGCGACAGAGCAAGACTCTATCAAAAAAAAAAAAAAAAAAAAAGAAGGATAGGAACCATATAAATGAACCTGATAGCAGGCCTTGGTTTGTCCATGGCTTGCTTTATTTATTTATTTATTTATTTACTTACTTACTTATTTATTTATTTATTTATTTATTTATTTATTTATTAGACAGAGTCTCGCTCTGTCGCCCAGGCTGGAGTGCAGTGGTGCGATCTTGGCTCACTGCAAGCGCCACCTCCGGGTTCACGCCATTCTCCTGCCTCAGCCTCCTGGGTAGCTGGGACTACAGGCGCCCCCCACCACGCCTGGCTAATTTTTTGTATTTTTAGTAGAGATGGGGTTTCACCGTGTTAGCCAGGATGGTCTCAGTCTCCTGACCTTGTGATCCACCTGCCTCGTCCTCCCAAAGTGTTGGGATTACAGGCGTGAGCCACCGCGCCCGGCTGGCTTTTTTAAAGAAAAAATATTTCTTCCTTTTCTTCCCTGGCAGCAATAGTATGGCGATTGCCATTTACAAGTAAAACTTCACCAAACTTTTTACACTAGAAACACAGATTAATTACTAGGTTCTTTTAAATATTTTTTTTCTAGTATGCTCAAATACTTAATCAAACTTAGGAAAGAACAAATAAGCAATATCACAAATAATATTGCATAAGGAGTAAAAACATTCTAATGCAAAAACTCAAAACCATAATTCCTAATTTTTTTGGCTAACCATTATTTTTTAAGGTGGGATAAACATATAGTTATATATTTTTTCTTTTAAAAAAATTTTCATCACAGGAATTAGTCGGAAGTAACCAAACGCACTGCTCAAGAATATTGTAGAATTTATTTAAGGGCAATGTTGATAGCTAAATCAGATTATGTCTATAGACATTTTCAAATCTGAGCATCCTTGGTTCTGTTAATAATTACCCCGCTTTCGCAGTCCCAATCTCTTAAATTTGGGATTTTCTGAAGATTGTTCATATTGTCATCCAATTTGAAAATGCCAACTTCTCTTTTTATTTTTCTTTTTAGGGTCATATATGTTTTAGAGTGGGCTTTTTCCAAGTCTCTTGACACGGTCCATCTTGTGATTGCATGTGTAACTTCTTCCTTATGAAGACATTGTTTTTTGAAGCCAGGTTCCGTATATTATAGAGTTGAATTTTATTAGCATTTATTACTTTATTAGTATAGGGATGTAGATAGTAGCTATAGTATTTATTTTATAAATGGATAAATAATTACATAAACCATTTGGATTTTAAGTTTTAATGAAGCCAGTAAAGTCCTTCTCCATGTAGAGATAGCATTATTCCAGTTCTTTGCTGATTATCTTTCTGAAAATAAAATCAGTTTTTCTAATGGTAGAAGCCCAAAAGAGATGAGAAAAAAAAATCACTTTTATGTGTACAGACATAAGGGTGCATACATATCAGCTAGGATGTGTGTTAAAATCCTCAAATAAGTGGAAGATTAAAGGAAAAGCCCAAATCAGTGTTTTTAGAAGGATCTCTAGGAGGCCACTCTCTTGAACCCTAAAACACTAAAATTAAATTTTAAAAAACTGGTCTAATAAATTAGTTTCTCTCCATCATGGCTTTGTTTACAACTTAAGCTCTCTATCTCCACCTGAAAGGGAAGATTGACTATACAAAAAATTTAGTTAACTTTTGTTTGGCTTTTTTTTTCTTGGAAAATTCATATGACAAGTAAAACAAAGAAAAATAATAGAAGCCTCTCCACGTATGTAACTTTAAGGTTTCTCACAATTTCGAGAGCTTGTCATGCTACAAGGTGAAAGTCATTCCTTTAAAAAAAGTATACGATTTAATTTTGAAACAAGAGGAACTGGATAATATTGTTTTTCACCACCTAGAAAACCAAATAAGATTCTTTTTATTTATTTAGTCTTTGCAAATAGGTAATTTAACACATTCAGTATATTGTGAAAGAATTGCCATGCAGGTAGTAATTTTGGCAATTGAAGTTGAAGTCATTTTTAAATCTCCTATTCAAGCAAAGATTATCAAACCTAAGATGTATGTAAAAACATCAGGGCCTAGCAAAGATTTTGTTTAGTGAGCCTCTGTCAGCTCAGAGAGTATATAGTGGAGCAGTGTGGAATATTAGAACATTGCCACTAGGGGCAGGAGACCTGGGTTCTGTTAATGAGTAGGTATTTTTAAGACTTTCACTTCTATTTCTCCATTATCAAAACCAGGAGATTGTAATAGACTACAGTAAATTCTCTTCCCATTCTAAAGTCATATATCTGTAACTTTAACTTTCTAGATCAAGAAACTAATAGGTGTATGTGTATAAAGATGCAGGTAAGCCAACACCTGCAAATAACATGTGCATATAATGAAAAATAAGCACAAGTCTAGAAAGAGCAAAAGGAAGAAAGATAATAACTGATTATTCGTTTACAAAAGTTGTAATGAGGTGTGATTATTGTTTTGGAAACAAACTTTATATATTTTCTGACATTGTATCAAGAACTTTCTTCTGAGAAATGATCCTAAGACACTGTATTCTTTTGAAGTTTTAAAAGTTTTTATTGAGCTGCCCAGAAAAAAGTCTGTTTGAACATAATATGCTGACATGGTGCATCAAAAAAGTCAAGCTGTTTTACATTTCAGAGTTTCACAGTGATAAAAATTGTCCTTTTATCCATTAAATATAACATCTTTACACAGGAGAGCTCTGATATGAAGATCTTTAGAAATTTGAGGAGTTAATGGGTACTTAGATGTTTGTTATTCCTGATTGCTGTGCTGTCATTAGGCATCATAATTATGAATATTTCATTGTCTCATGTCATTTTATCACTTTTTAAATTCATTTGTGTCTTAGTGTGGTACGCTAATCACAAGTTCAAAACAACTAAAATATGAAAAACCTTTACAATTCAGACATAGTGTTTGGGTTTTGTTTGTATCCAGTATCTCTTACTTCTCACTAGATAATAGAAAGTACAGTGACTTTTCTAAGTTATATAGCCAATCTTTCCCTGACTTATTTTGGGCTTTGTTTTTTATCTAAATGTTGTACATTTTTGCTTTCATTCTTTTTTAAGGGCTTTGTTTTTTATCTAAATATCGTATGTTTTTGCTTCCATTCTTCAACTATTTAATGTGAAGATAGATTTTTTAAAGCATATTGAAATGGTATTTTGAAGTTAACTATAGAATATTCTACCACGTTCTTTTTTATTATTTTTTGTTTTCTATAGGCCTAGTATTTCTTGGGGATATGATTTTATCAACCGAAATTTTTCTTATAATGAGAAAACTTACAAAATAATTTTAAATTTTAAATTATGTTTTAAATGTTTTGAAGGTTGTCTACATTTATAGACATTTGATATGTTTTTAAATTTATTTTAGTTGTATAATTGTTTTAAATTGTCAGTTAATAAAATAGTTATTTGGTTTATTTGGCAAACATATATTTATATGCACTCATAATTTTCTACAGAGAGTTGGGTGTAGTAAAGAACACTAGTCTACTAGAAAAGAGACCTGGTGTCACATTCTAACCTTGCTACTATCTTTTTTTTTTGAGACAGAGTCTCACTCTGGTGCCCAGGCTGGAGTGCAGTGGCATGGATCTCAGCTCACTGCAAGCTCCACCTCCCGAGTTCACGCCATTCTCCTGCCTCAGCCTCCTGAGTAGCTGGGACTATAGGCACCTGCCACCACACCTGGCTAATTATTATTTTTTTTTTTTTTGTATTTTTAGTAGAGACAGGGCTTCACCGTGTTAGCTAGGATGGTCTCAATCTGACCTCGTGATCCGCCTGCCTCAGCCTCCCAAAGTGCTGGGATTACAGGTGTGAGCCACAGCGCCCGGCCCCTTGCTACTATCTTTAATAGCTGTGTAATCTTAGGCAACAGTATATAACATTGGCTTTCAATTTTCTCATTGCAAACCATGTAAAATGTCCCCCATTACTGCAGTATTCAAGCACAGACTAGAAAAGCAATATGAAAAAAAACACATAGAAGAAATATAAATATTGCATGCATTGTTGGATTATACCACCTTTAAGGTTCCTCACAAATTTGAGAGCTTATTATCCTATATACATAATTATTAATTATCCTTTAGATGTAGGCTGTCATATTTCAATTAGTGAGGACAGATTTCCAATTCTCTTTAGAAGGCTGTGTGTGTGTGTGTGTGTGTGTGTGTGTGTGTGTGTCTGCGTGTGTGTCCAGGTGAGTAGGATATAAGTTTGAGCAAGCTTATGCTTCACTATTTTATATAGAAAATATTTTCTGAACATCTACCAACTGTCCGGGACTATTCTAGGCACTTGGGTTACATTAGGGAAACCCACACACGTGCGCACATAGACATGTGCACACACACACAAATTATTGAGATAGTAGAGAGTGGTCAGTGCTGTTGAAAACACAGAGCAGAGGGAAGGGAAGGGGATCAGGTTGCATTTTTAAATTAGGTGGTCAAAATTGGCCTCAGTGAGAAAGTGGCATCTGAGCAAAGACTTGAAGTTTAGGGGAATATCTAAGCAGATATCTGGAGGACAACACTCTTAAGGACTAGTGGCAGTGCAAGCCTTCAAAGCATGTGTATATCTGGTATGTTCACTGTATAATAAAGAGGACAGGTGGCTAAAGGTAAGTGAATGAGGGAGCCATTAGGTCAGAAAGGGAGTGGAGCCTAATCATATTCACTGTAGTGTTTCACAGGTGCTTGTAATCACTTGACTTTTACACTGAGATGAAGAACTAGTAGGGGATTTAGAGCAGAAGAGAGACTTACATTACACAAGGATCACTGTACCTACTGGGTTCAAAAACAGTTTGCACATAGAAGAAAGAAAACCAGTTTAGAAAGGAATATAGTAATCCACGTAAGTGATAACTGTGACTTGGTATCAGGGTGGTATCAATAGAAATTTTGAGAAATAACTGGGAATTCTGCATATATGTAAAGATATTACAATAGGATTTCCAACAAATTGGATGTGTATATGAGAGAAGGGAAAGATCTGAAATGAAGCCAGCATGTTTGTTTCATCAACTGAGCGGATGCTATTGCCATCCACCTATGTGAGAAATGAGAAAGAATCTTAGTGGAGTAAGTTTGTAGGGGGCAAAGGAAACGAAAACTTCAGTTTTGGGCATGCTAGTTTTGAAATATCTATTTGACATCTCAATGAAATGTCAGGTAGGCAGGGATAATAACGTGGTTAGAAGAGAACAATTAGTGTGGCGTCATGGAAGCCAATAAAGAAAGTATATCAAGGACAATGGACTTGATGTTGATAAGCCAAGTATGGTAAGAATTGAAAAGATGGCCATTTGATTTGGCAATCCAGAGTTCATTGGTGATCTTGACAAGGATGCTTTTGTTGTAATTATCAGAGGAAACACCTGATTGGAAAGGATTACAAATTGTAAGAGGATGGAACTAGTGTTACTAGCAATGGTCAACACTCTCTAGCTATTTTGTTGTAAAAGGGAGAAGACAACTGGAATTAAAACTAATGGGCAAAATGTGGTTTAAAGCAGGATTATGTTTCAGATTGGAGAAGAATAACATTTTTGTTTTGCTGGTGGTGATTACTATGACTACATAAGGAAAAAATAGTGACGCAAAGAAAAAGAAGTAATTCCAATGTGTAGTTTTAAATAGGTGAAATGAATTGTATTTGTGCATAAGGGAAGGTTTTACTGAGGAGAGAATATTTTTATCTCAAGAAACTTGATAGAGAACAGAGTATATGAGTTTGGTTGTGGGTACATATATGAGGCTGTGAGACTTTCTGAAGCTTCTCCCTGGTTACTTCAATTTTATCAGTGGAAAAAGAAGCAAAGTCATGAACTGAGAGCATTAGGGTGGAGGTGTTCAGAAGAAAGGAAAAACTGTGAAATAGTTCTCCAAGATAGTGGAGAGTACATGGACTGGTTAAATATATTATATTGTGGGCAGCTGTAGGAGTCCTCTAACAATTTGTCAAATTGAATTTAAAGTGAGATCATTAAGACCTGTGTGTTTCTCTGTGCATCTTTAATTGCACAGGTGCAGGTGTTGAAGAAACAGTGAGTTAGATTTATGTAGGGCTGTAATTTTGCCTAATGAAAGATGTTAAGGGGCCTTGAAAAATATGCGGGATCAATTGATTTAAGGTCATGTTGGCATCAAATGACTGCTAGAGTTGGGATACTAGAGCAAATGAGCTAGAAAGATAGAAGATAATGATCAGAGACATAGATGCATGAAACAGGGATTATAGAAGTATGGACACTACTGGTAATGGATATGTCTATAAATGACCTGGACTTATTTGGCTGCAATAGAGTGGAGGACAAGATGTTAGAGGAAAGAAGATTAAGGAATTAAGATGCCAAATTTTAGGAAGGATATCATATATGTGTTTATTGAAATTGCCAATAACTAAATTAGGAGTCATGTTGAAGAGAGTGGCAGTTAGGCAGGAGATAAAATAGTTGAGAAACAAGGAGGGGTTAATTGCAGTATCATTAAATGGTTGCAACAGTGAAGATAATGATCAATATAATCTGCCGACCAGAGATTGAAAGCTGGGATTTACAGGGATGGGAGGAAAATCGTATAGAAACTATAGTAACAATAGAAGTGGCCGTGTGTCAATGTGATCCCATCTCATGTGATTTTTAAAACTGTATTATATTTGTCATACTGTAGGAATCATTAAGTAATGAAATCTATTTGACTCATGTGTTGATATTTAGAATAGGGAAGTAAGAGTAAACACAAGGTGTAATGAAAGAGTACATGGATGAAAATCTTCGGAGAAAATTTTGTGTTAGAGAGAATTTGCATGAAAGAGTAAGTTAGATGTGGGCTCCAATCATGGCTCTGCCATTTATGAATTGAGTTCTTCATTAAAGTGTTTTGTCTCTGGAATGGGATAAAAATAAATAACTCTCAGAGTTGTGAGTGATAAGTACAATGATGTATGTAAAACACCTGGCATAGAATAAGCATTTGGTGAATGCTAGTTCTCTCTCACAAAGGAGAGATTCAAATATTGAATGCATTTACAGGGTACTGTAACAAAGATAGACTTCTGAGGTAAACAATTTCTATTTCTATCACCAACGATAAATGATTCATGAACTCATTCATACACCAACTGTGTGTTATTTCAGTGACTTGAGAATGTGTTTTTGGACTCTCAAAGATTTTCTTTTTCAATTTCTGGCTTTGTATTGTATATTACAACATGTATAAGGTACAACAGTCATAAGAAAATCAGGACATCATTTGCTTTTGTAGTAAATACTAAAGTATTAATTTCTTGTATTACTTTTTAAAATGTGTGGATATATAATAGCATTATCATTGAGTAGAATCTAAATGCATAAAATGATTATTTAGAGTATTTTATGAATAATAGAATGCATATAATATAATAATATGGGAAATTTAAAGACAATGCACATTTTCTATTAAACAAATACTCATGTTGAATGAATGTTATTAAGTAATTGTAGTTGCTTATAGAGAGGATTTGAAAAAGCATTGGGATATATTTCCAGTCTTGCATGATCAATGACAGAAGTGAAAAATGATCACAGAATTATAAGAATATCTTAGAAAGTGGTCTATTGGGGTGGAGAAAGTAGCTCTGTTCCATATAGTTATTGAGGCACCTATGAGCTCTGCCATCCACTAGAATCTTTTCATCCTTGTTGAATCCTCTGTATGTGGCCATTCAAAAAGTACAAAGAAGGAGGATGCATAAAAGATTTAAAAAGGTTTCAGAGTTATGTCTCAAAAGGATGCACACTGTTTTTGGCCACATGTTGATGGCTAGGACTAGTCAACTTTGTGGGCCATCCAGATGCAAAGAGGCTGGGAAATGCAGTCTAAATATGGGCCAGTGTGTGCCAAGGAGAAGAATGCCTGCTTATGGATGAACTAGCTAGTCTATTCCAGAGTTGATGCATTACTAGATGTTAAATCAGAAGTTATATATGGACTCTGTGGCATAAAAAATGTAGAAAATGGGTAGAACATTTTAAGCTACCTGACTATGAGATAGCCAGGTAATGCTTCACTTTGGTGGACTATCAGAGTAGACCTTAAACGACACATCAATGTGGTTTGTCACAAAAGGCTGGAATACATTTTTTATGGAGCAGGAATTAATCTGTAGTATATTCCAACAATGTAATTAGTCTGAAGAGGAAATAGGCTTTTATTAGTGAAGGAAATCCTCATATGCAGATAGCAAAGGTAAGTGGGACCAGACCAGGGTCTATCTTGGATATCAGGATGAGAAGTTGTGTTATTATTTGGAAACTATCTTTTCAGTTATGTTATTTTAAGCCATAAGTAAAATCATGTTGGTGATACATTTAATTAAGAGGTTTATAGCAAATGCATTTATAATACTAAGTTCTACAGTTCGAATTTTTTATTTTATATTACCCAGAATGGAACACTATTTTCACATGATATTCAGGGTTGCTTCTGTTTATGGAAAGCACTATATAATCATATGCATGTGCACTTGCAAATGAGCCTTTATGCTTATTGCCATGAAAAGGTTTAGCACCACAACTATCATTCTAGACATCACTGATAGATCCATAAAGTCTTTACGACTGCAAAGAACTTTCGAGCTAATGCAGTTCAAAGCAGTCAGATGATTTTTCCAAGGAATCATAGATGATCTTAAATCTAGATCTATATACAGTTCTCCTAAATTATGAGGTTCAAAATTGTTAAGAAAGGAATCCTATTTCCTATTGTCATAGTTATAGCAACCGAAGTGTGTATATTGTACATAGAAAGGATCTGGACTAGATTCTTATTACTTTGAAAAATAGCTTATTTTAGCCACAGTTTAAGATAAAAATAATAATATGACACACAAGTGGATATACATTAGAAAACAAATTGTGGGGAATAGACTGTACCGCCTACTCAGAACTGAACCAGACAAGATAACACATAAAAGAACAGATATTGTAGTAATGAGAGCACAGCTGCTTAGGATTCTACTGAAATGTGGGAAACATTATTCGTGGAACAAAGAAAAACAACTAAAGAGAACAGCTTTAAACCAGCACCTTCATATTTAGCCTCATATTGCATATTTTACATATTTTAATCATAGCCCACTTCCTTCCAAAATAGGCTTGAGGCCGTTTATAAGAAGATAATGTTGCAATAGCACCGACTGAAGGATAAGATAGGATGGGGTAATGGTGCAATAGTACCACATTAATCGTACTAGATTACTAACACTAGAGGTAAACTTTTATTTAGGACAAACTTTTGGCATTTAGCTTCTTGGCACTCAAGTCAACAAAGAAAAATAAAATTATGCTCATATTATTTGGTAAAAAGAAGGAGTGTGTGGGCTTTTTCTTTCTTTCGTCTTCACAGTTCTGATCTCTGAGAGGAACTTATTTTGCAATTCTTTAATAAGGCAGTTTTACAAGACATGACTTCAACATCATCCCATAAATAAATACTGAACTTCTATTTCTTGCCTAGTTCTCTACTGAGTTCTTTGGACACATAGATGAATAAGGAGCATCCTTACCCTTAAGGAGCTCACAGCTGGGATAAACTTAATTGGACAATAAATGCAATAAATAAGTTCCTTGCAAGACAAAATGGTGGCCCAAAGGAAAAAGTGGTCAGCAAGGTCAAAGAGAGAAGCCCTCATAGGGGAAGAGCGTTGAACTGATCTTAAAGTATGAGTGTAGATCAAGGATTAAAAAAGAAATGAGAAGAACTTACTCTAATCTGAAAACAAAACACCCACAATGTATAATTTTATGCAGACATTCATAGAGAATTCCTTCAGAGAGCCAAAACAATATAGTCCAGGTGCCTAAAATGTAGGATAACTTGTTTGATTAAAAATACTGAAATTTGAGAAATGAGTGGTTAATTGGTCCCTTCAACTCCGTTTGAATGTAATTGATCATATAGTGTTCTTCTGGTGGTATGTCTGTTCATCACATAACTAGTACGATTAAGACATTTGTCAAAAAGTAATTTTTTAAAGTGAAAGTCTAGATGAAAAAAAATTGTGGTAACATCTATGTAGCATAAAATTTACTACCTTAACCAGTTTAAAGTTACATATGTTCACATTGATGTGCAACCGACCTCTAGAAATTTGTCACCTTACAAAACCGAAACTCTGTACCTATTAAGCAACAGCATCCCGTTTCCTCCTCCCCGACTCCCTGGCAACCACCATTCCACTTTTTCTGTTTCTATGAATTTGACTAGGTCTCTCATACAAGTGGACTAGCTTATTTCACTTAGTATAAAATCCTCAAGGATTATTCTTGTTGTAGCATGTGTCAAAATTTCCTTTCTTTGAAAGGTTGAATAGTATTTTATACATTTTGTTTATACATTTATCCATAGATGGACACAGGGTTGCTTTCACATTTTGGTGATGGTGAATAATGCTGCTATGAACATAACTGCACAAACATCTCTTCGAGATCTTGTTTTTAATCCTTTTGAATATATACACAGAAGTTGAATTGCTACATCATATGGTAATTTTATTTTTAATTTTTTTGAGGAAGCATCATACTATTTTCCATAATGATTGCACCATTTCACATTTCCAGCAACAGAACAGAGTTCTGGTTTTTCTACATACTCACCAACACTTGTTATTTTATGTTTTTCTGACAGTGGCCATCCTGATAGGTAAGATGATATCTCATTATGGTTTTGATATGCATTTTCCTAATAATTAGTGATATTGAACATCTTTTCATATGCTTCTTGGCCATTTGTATATCTTTGTTGAAATATCTGTTGAGACCCTTTGGCCATTTTTTAATTGTGTTATTTTGTTGTTGAGCTGCAGGGATCCTTTATATATCCTGGATATTAACCCCTTATTAGATGTAATGATTTGCAAATATTTTCTCCCATTTTATAGGTTGCCTTTTCACTTTGTTGAATGTGTCTCTCAAAATTTTTTGCCTTGAGTGAGTTCATAGAAAATCCATTACAGTATTTGAGATTCATGGAATAGGGAAGATAAGTCATTGTCCTGGGAAAGAAAATGGAAGTATGAGTTACTAATTATATTCATTTCTATTTTAAAATATTAGCTATTAATGCTCATTTTGGCAAGGATAAGGTTAGGAGCTTTAAGTCCATAAGCCCAGGACAGATTTTGGTGCTTCTTGACATAATAAAAACAAAGACATTTTAAATAAACGATTAACTTTTCAGAAAATGAGAAAACTGTATATTTATGTCTAAATTTAGTAGTCTCTTTAATTTGTTTTGCTTTTTCTCTTTTTCAATTTTCTCTTCTCTCCTCTCTCTCTCTCTCTGTCTCTTTCTCTCTCTTTCTCCTCTTCTCTCTGTCTCTTTCTCTAAATCCCTTTATATTGCTCTTCCTTTACCAGTGTCTTGACCTTCTTGTTAGGTAATGTAGCACAGTGCCTTGATGAAAAATGTGACAGAAGCTTCTTTTAGACATTCCACTGATTGACATGAAAAGAATTATTAATAACAGCTGTCATTTTTGTAGCACATACTAAGTGCTATTTTGTTCTCTGCTCTGGAAAAGAGGAGGATGTGAGAGGTTACTTCCCACATAGTTCCTTCCCTCTAAGGGATTATAGTCTAATGGGAGGACAATAAAATTGGGTAAAATATGTTTGCTAGCCTTCAATGTCTCATGGCTCTTTTTTTTTTGTTCGAAGCTGTAATATGAGCAACATTTACCTTAACAGTTAAGCCAGATCTTCACGCTGTTTTGAATAAGTTACTTCTAAAAGGGTTTAAGCTCAAAAAATGTTATCTTACTTTTGTGATCTGTATGGGCTGTCACTTTGATGCCTTTCTTTTTATTTCTTTTCTGTTTTTGTCTTCCAGTAAATAGTTGTCATACCTATAAGCAGGGTCTTTAGCCCTTAACTACTTAAGTATTCAGAACAGGTTTCAGACTGTGTATATATAGTTATGATAATAAACAGGCCCTATTCTAACCCAGCTCTTAAACTTCTGCATCTGGGCATGCTACTTATGTGTAAATGAAAACTAAATAGAACTGCATTAAGGAGCTAAGTAATCTCAAGAAGGAAGCGCTCATGTTTGACAGTAAGAGGTACATTTTTCAGGCCGGGTGCGGTAGCTCAAGCCTGTAACCCCAGCACTTTGGGAGGCTGAGGCGGGTGGATCACCTGAGGTTAGGAGTTCGAGACCAGCCTGGCCAACATGGTGAAACCCCGTCTCTACTAAAAACACAAAATTATCTGGGCATGGTGTCGTGCGCCTGTAATCCCAGCTACTTGGGAGGCTGAGGCAGGAGAATTGGTTGAACCCAGGAGGCAGAGGTTGCAGTGAGGAGAGATCACACCATCACACTCCAGCCTGGGCAAAAAATGTGAAACTCTGTCTCAAAAAAAAAAAAAAGCTGCATTTTTCAGATAAAGATTATTGTAGTCTGTTCAGGCTACTATAACAAAGAACCGTAGACAGAGTGGTTTATAAAGAAATTTATTTCTCCCAGTTCTGCAGGCTAGAAGTCTGAGATGAGGGTGCCAGCATGGTGAGGGACCTCTTCCAGGTTTCAGACTGCTTAAATCCTAGTGCATCATCACATGGTGGAAAGAGAGCAGGAACTCTCTGGGATCTCTTTCAGGAAGGCGCTAAACTCATTTATAAGGGCTCCACTCTCATAAACTAATTTCCTCCCAGAGACTGCACCATCTAATACCATCACATTGGGGGTTAGGATGTCAACATATGAATTATGGTGAGACACAAACATTCAGTCCATTGCAGATATAAACAGGGAATCATCAGATACGCTATAATGCTATCTCTTTGATTCCAAATATCATAGATAAATCTCTTAGTTGCCCTACAACCCACCGTTTAACAGAATAGTTATTGTTATAGATGAATCTGGTTAGTTTTCCTCCCTAAACAAGCTGATAGAGGCATGGTTTCTGGGGAGGCTGAGTTGACTTGAAGCCCTTTCATGATAGAACTTTAAGCAGTCATTTTTGATTGTTTTTATGAAAGCCTATCATGATTATTTTGTTGTTCAAATGATATTAAAATATTGACAAGACTATCAATTTAGAACCAAGGTGGGCACATGTACCTTGACAAAGATGCTATATATCTTGACAAAGGCTACATCATCTTATCTAAGACAGGAACACTAACTACCTTTATACATGCAACATAGCTAAGCAATTGTTTCTCTGATACAAATAGGGATTCACATAGTCAAATTACTCTATGCTCTATGAAGTCTGATTGAAACATACATTACAACTTCTTTGTGAGCAAACACATTCTCATCAAAAGGAAAGCTATGACCTCATGATGGTTTCCTGCTGTACTGTAAGATAGGCTGCTGCAGCCATTATTGAATATGTTTTTAGGGATTATTCATATCTTTACTTTTAGAAAAAGAATATTCTGTATTTCTAAATTTATATAGTAAAAGTATTTGTTTTACTGTTGCTACTTAATTTCTGTATTTTATTATAATGTCCTTAGTAGGTAGGTGTCATGTCTTACTCATCAGCATTTCACTGGCAGTAGAGTAGGATTTGCACATAAGTAGCTTACCTAGGGGGCTCATAATAATATACCAAATAATATTTTCTGAATATATGAATGAACTTGTTTACATATCTATCTGTGGTATAGCTTCCCAAGAATAATTTTAGTTAGCTCACTACAGAACTAATACCATTACACTCCATTAATATCTTACCACCCCTCATAAATATGGGAAACTTATACTACTTGCAATTGCCACTTTCTTAATTCTACAAAGAAATTAACTTTTGCTCTTCTACATCCACTATGGAAGACTCACCATGCTTTTCTGATGCCTTTATGTGGCTGATTAGATGGACATCTGAAGTAGTGAGACGGACATGAGACCACCACCATTGCCACCACATCTAAGCTGCTATACACACACACAAACACACACACACACACAAACACACACACACACACACACACAGACACACGAGGATGCTTTCCTAGGGAATGTGAGCATTTTAACAATGTCTTTCTGGAATTAATGCACCTGTCTTTGTTGTTTAACCCAGTGAGATAAATTATTAGTAAAATGTCCTGAACTACTATTACTAGAGTTTCTGATAATATCCTTGCATGGATTTTCATTGCAGACCACATTCAATTTTGGAATTTTTTTTTCCTGGAGTAAATAGCATTCATGCTGATAATTCAGATTTGACCTGCTGCTAAATCTTTCTCAGAGAATCTCACTATCAATTAAGGGAGCTTTTGAATTTTTGTGTTATTGAAGATACCATGCAAGTTAATTCATTACACAAATGTTTTTTGAGCCCCTGTTATAGTCCAGATATCTTTTATGTGTCACTGAACAAAATGTAAAAGGACTCTGGCCCCCTTGGATCTTTAATTTTGTTAATTTTCTTATTCATCTTATTCATTTATGTTACTGTTTTGCTGTCTGTTAACCCTTTTACTTTAGTCCACTGCAGATGTAATAAGAACAATGAAATCTTAATGATTTTTACTACTTATTCTCTTTAGTATCTTTTAAGTTCCTTTGTGAATGCAATGTAGTTGAATTAATTGAATTAATTATTTTTGATATGTATATATACTATATAATAAATGAATGTGTCTATGTTATTTATTGGATAAGACTTTTATAACTTTATATAACATAAAGAATGTTTTACAGATTTTTCAGACATATAATAATATCACTTTGTGAGGTAAATGTATCAGGGTTTATGAAAACTATGAAATCATTCAAGTTTTTATCTGCTGCCTTTAAATTCAGATTCTATAAGTGTTTCATTCAGGAAAGCAGACATCATTTTTATTGAGTGAATATAGTTCATTTTCTCAACAAGTTTATTTTATTAAATTGCAGAATCCTATGCTAATACAGTGTTAAGATTGCAAATTTTAACCTTCATAACTCAAGAAAGTGAAAAGTTAAGGTTTTCATAACAGCATTAATTTTCCTACATTTCTTATGCCTTATAATAAAGTGTACATTTAGCACACTAACCAGCAATCCAGGAATTATATATAATCAATGTTGGACAAGTTAATGTTACTAAGAGGATCTTAACTTTCATATCCTATGATTTGTTTTTAAATTTACAGCTTTAACAGTGCACTAATGGAAATACATTGCATTTAATTTTCTGATTTTTATAAAGCAGACAAGAGCACATAATAAAGATGGAAAAGTTGATATGTATTATTTCAGTACAATGACTATTTTCAGTAGTGAATTTAAAGATAACCCTGTGAATTTTTAATCAGTGCATTTGATTTCAGAATATTTTGCTTATAGCACATCTATGTTATTTCTAACACAGCTCCTTAGTCAATTTCAACCTAAGGACAGATTTCTGTTCCCATGATAGCCTATAACTGAACAATTGTTAACATCCACAGCAAGTGAAATCAATTGCCAACTTCTAAGTTGTGTTTCCAGTCATACTTCTATTTTGACAACCAGGTCCACTGGATATATTTAAACATGAAATTACTTATAAACTGAAACACAAAAATAAGTCTAAAGAAAAATCTATCTTAAACTGACATCTCTATTGAATGTTTGTTATAAAAAGTTTTAAGTGTAGTTATTGAAATATAAATGCCTTTTAATTTTTTACAGAGAATTACTTAATCAAGTGGGTTTTTTTGGTTAAAACCTTATAGAATTATTATCTACATTAAATATGTAGATTATTTTATTACCATAGAAGAATCACAAAGTTGTAGAAAGCTTATTATATATTTTGTATTGTGCATTATATATTAAACTTCATTTTATATTGCAAATTATATTTTATATTTTATACTGTATGACAATACCATCATATTATATATTTATATGTGTGTATATATATATATATATATATATCCAGTATATTATTTCAGGTTATATATTATGTATCATACAATTTTTAAAAAATTAATCATTAGTTTAAATGGGATCATCTCAAAAAAATCGAAGAGCATACACACACACACACACACACACACACACACACACACACACACACACACTCTCTCTCTCTCTCTCTCTCTCACATTGCAAGGTTATAATCATTACAGGCTCTTACTAAGTCCCCAGCAGTGTTGACAACAAACACAATGTGCACCAGGAAGAAGCATGCAGTAAAATTGACAGTGTGATTTAATGTTGTTATTTATTGGCTCTTGTTCAGGGGTCAGATATGCAGGTTCAGAGTTGGGGACTTCATATAATTTATTTTCAACGTTTATATAAATGTAGACCTGGTAGGCAGTTGCCTTCATTGTGTGATTTGACATGTTCAAAAAATGTCCATGCTGAAAAATATATCTCCTCCAGTCTGTCATGGACCCTGCCATCTCCTGGCACTATATACTATATTCTCTGCTATTTTCTTTTCTTTTCTTTTTCTTTTTTTTCTTTTCTTTCTTTCTTTTTTTTTCTTTTTGAGACAGTGTCTCATTCTGTCACCAGGCTGGAGTGCAGTGGCACGATCTCAGCTCACTGCAAACCTCTGCCTCCCGGGTTCAAGCAATTCTCCTGCCTCAGCCTCCCAAGTAGCTGGGACTGCGGGCATGCACCACCACACCAAGCTAATTTTTGTATTTTCAGTAGAGACAGGGTTTCACCATGTTGGCCAGGATGGTCTCAATCTCTTGACCTCGTGCTCCTCAGCCTCCCAAGTAGCTGGGACTATAGGCGTGCACCAACACACCCACCTAATTTTTATATTTTTAGTGGAACTGGGGTTTCACCATGTTGGCCAGGATGGTCTCGATCTCTTGACCTCATGATCAACCCACCTCAGCCTCCCAAAGTGCTGGGATTACAGGCATGAGCCACCAGGCTGGGCCCTCTCTTCTGTTTTCTGTAACAGTGGTCATTAACCCTGTCTATATCAAAGATTTCTTTTAAAATCCGAAGGAAGCAATAGTTTTCCCAAATACATACATATATATTTTTCCCAAATACATACATATGTATGTATATACATACATATATATGAATACATACATATATATGAATACATGCACATATACACACATACATATATACAAATATATATACACACATACATACACACACACACACACACACACACACACACACACACACAACATTCATGAAACATTGCATATATTTTCATGAATTTTATAGAGCATCCCTATCCTTCATAAAGCCTACTTATGGGAAGGTTAAGACTTTTACTGTTATACGAGTCCTTAGAAGAAATGTGTTTTAAAAAGTGAGCTTAGAATTTTGCCAACCTAGGGACAATATGTTAGCAGGGTAATCTTGTTATACAATTTAGCTTACATGTGTTAAAATATTACAATGTATTTTAAACTGGTAATTAGGTAGGATTTTTAAAAATTGAGAAATATGACTGAAAAATGCAAACAGTAATAAAACTAAGTCAGTCTACATTTGTAGATAATTTAGAGAAAAATTCTCATTAGTTACTGATAATCATTATTAAACATCACCTATATTTCAGATATTGAAATAAGTGAATATAAGTTAAAGTTAAGAAGATCATATTCTAGGAGTGAGAAAGACATGTCAGATAACATTTACAATAGAAATGGCAGAAAATTTTCAGGAGCGAATTGACAAAATAATAATCAGTAATATTTATTAATTGTGTGCTAGATTTCAGGCTTGTATTAACCCTATACAAATTCATTTAGATAATACTGTATATGAATTTCTGATTCTATTTTTGTAACAATGTGAGATAAATACTTTTACTTTTTTTTTTTTTTTTTTTTTTTTTAGGCAAACTATAACACACAGCCTGAGTAATTTGCTAAGGTTACTCATCTGGGAAGGGGTGAAAGTGGGAATTGAGACCCTGGCTGTGTGAAACAGAGCCTTCGTCTCTGAATATTGCGCCATTTAGATTTGCTTCTTCAAAACCTACCTACAGTAGGACAATGGAGACTGAATGGGAGGAGGAGACTAAGGAAGGAAATGAGTTATAGGGAAGTTTGTTTATGCCGCAGGCTTTTAGTAACTCAATCTTTGTGTTAGGCAGAAATGAAAATATGTAAGAGATTGTACTGAGTGACTAATTAGATGCAAGGGATTATAGAGAAAGGAAAAAGCAATAGTGACTCCTAGGTTCTTTACTTAAATGACATGGAAAATAATGGTGTCTGAGATAGGAAATGAAAGAAGAGCTTGGGGAAAAGAAGGAAATGTGACCAAGAATCGGTTAAGATTCTTGAAATAAGACTATCTATAGGGCGTCTAGTAGACCATCAAACATATGGGTCTATAGCTCAAGAAAGGGCACAGGAATGCTCAAACTGTGGGCCATAGACCTATGGGGGTCTCTGAGATACTTTTAAAGGATCCATAATGTTAAACTATTTAAATAATATTCTAATACATTGTTTGCCTTTTTCATTCTATTGATATTTGTAGTGATGCTACAAAGCAATAGTGGGTAAAGGTGCCTTAGACAATTGAAAGCAGTGGTACAAAACTGTTCTATTCTTCATCTCCACATATTCATTGTTTAAAAATTACAAACTAGTTTCACTTAAGAATGTGGATGCAGCAAAAGTTATTAATTTTATAAAATCTCAACCTTTGAGATTTTAGTATCTTAATATTTTGTGTGACAAAATGGGAAATATACGTAGAGTACTTCTGCTTCATATGAAAGTACACTTATTGTCTCAAGAGTAAAACACTTGTGCCCTTGTTCAGTTGACAAACTGAACCAGCCATTTTTTTAATGCAATACCATATTTTCTTGGAAGAACAACTGACATGTCAACTATGGTTATTCAGATGTGGGCATTTGGCAGACATTTTATGAAAAATGAAATTAGCCTGTCACAGCCACTACTACAGGTTTTGCAACTTTCCAATATTCAAGGACTTTTTTGATAATATTGGTGGTGATGTTGAAGATGTGTTTTCTATATAGGCGTTATATAATGAAACTTGTCAACATTTCAAAAATTAGTATGACTGGGAGGACCAATATTTTACACATGTCCAATATAGGATGTTACAAAACTGTGCATGGTAAAACAGATATTCAAAGTGCAAGCTACAGGAGTGGTTTAAAATGTAACAGTATGGAAAGCCCATTGCTATGGTTTCAGAATCCATGTTGTAACTGCACTTTTGGCAACTGACACTAGTCAAAATTTGGTATGCTGTCAAAGAAGACTATCCACAGTTATCTGAGAAAGCTATGAAAGCCATACATGGTGGCATGGGCCTGTGGTCTTAACTACTTGAGGGGGAGGTGAGGTGGGAGGATCACTTGAGGCCAGAAGTTCAAGGATGCAGTGAGCTATGATGGCGCCACTGCGGCACTTCAGCTCCCACCTGGGTAACAGAGGGAGACGCTGCCTCCAAAAGAAAACAGAAAGAAAAGAAAAGAAAAGCAAAGAAAAGAAGAAACATTTTTGCTTTAGTAACTTTAATTAAAAATTATCAAAAGAAAACCCATAACATTGTATATATGAGATACATTATATAAACTATACTATTCTTCAGCTTTGATAAGTATCTAGGTGTATGTTCAAATGAGTAACATTAAAACACTTTTAGGGGAAAGAATGAAGAAATCCAGTCAATATGCTAGTAAATTTAATCATTCTTCTTGAATTATATCTGTCCAGACTATGAAGAAATGACCCTCCTCTCCTGCACTTGCTTTTTCATTGAAGCTCTCTAACATACATATAGAGCTATTCCTTGATTTACAATGGGGCTACCTCTCCATAACCCCATTTTAAGTTGAAAATATTGTTAAGTCAAAAATACCTCTACTACACCTAATCTACTGGCATTGTAATTACCCAGCCAGTGTTAAATGTGCCAGAACACTTTCAGTAGAGTATTCAATAATTAAATGAGGCCAGGTACAGTGGCTCATGCCATAATCCCAGTGCTTTGAGAGGCAGATGTGGGTGGATCACCTGAAGTCAGGACTTCAAGACTAGCCTGGCCAATACGGTGAAACCCCATCTCTACTAAAAATACAAAAATTAGCTGGGCGTGCTGGTGTGTGCCTGTAGTCTCAGCCACTCTGGAGACTGAGGCAGGAGAATCACTTGAACCTGGGAGGTGGGGGGGTGCAATGAGCTGGGATCATGCCACTGCACTTCAGCCTGAGTGACAGAGTGAGACTCTGTCTCAGAAAAAAAGAAAATTACATGAGATATTCAGCACTTTATTATAAGACAGGCTTTGTGTTAGATGATTTGGCCCAGCATCATGAGAGAGTATTTTACTACATACTACTAGCCTGGGAAAAGATCAAAATTCAGAATTTGAAGTACGCTTTCCCCTGAATATCTGAATATATATTGATTTGCATCATCATAAAGCAGAAAAAGCATAAGTCAAACCATCATAACTAGGGGACTGTCTGTATCTTCTGTGAGGAAATTCATGCAACAGAAACCATGTCGTCATCGAAATTTGTTGTTATTTAGTATTTCTGAGTAACTTCCACTTGATATAACTTCTAAATCTTCCATGTAAATTCTTTGTAAATTATAATGCCTCTATCTCCTGAGTAAATTTACATAATTAATTTATACCTAAATAGAGAACATCGAATCCATCTTTGTTTTCTCTAATCTTGTATAGTAAGGAGCATTTAAAGTGTTATAGTTTAGAGGCAAGAGCTCCTGGAATATCAAATAACACATTTAGATGAGAAAAAGTTATTAGAAAGGACAAACCAGTCTCGATGGGAGTATGAATTGTGTGATTCCTATGTGTTAACCTTGAATTGAGGGAGGGCACCTAATTTTTTATGCCAACCCCATATGACTAATGCTCTAATGGAAAACTACTGAGATGTAATATACTCCCTGAGCATAAGGAATGCTATCCCTGGTGATTATATAATTACAACATTTTTTACAAAGTCATGAAATAATGTGTGCTCCCCTAGGTATGCCTTTAACATCATGTAAACTATAGTTACACTGCTGAGAGTGTAGCTACTATAAGGATAATAGCAAATGTTAGGTTCTTTATAAACATAAAATCTGGAGACATTGTAACAGGAATGCTAAATCATAAATAAATACTTTGAATGATCATATGTCCGGCAGTAGTATATCATGTTAGGTGAGAAATGATGTGATCATAAAATTGAAATCCTGTAACCATGATTTAATTGAAACGTGATTAATCAGGGTAAAGGGGCCCAGTCTGGCCCACTGTTGGGGTATAATCACATGTAGAATTTGGGGAAGCCATAATATTAGATAAGTCAAGAAATAACATAGTAAAATGGGAGCATGAAAACAACCACAATTTCCATTTCCTCATCATTTCTTGCTATTGGCAACTTCTTGGATTTTTTTATCCAGGATGAACTAAGGATCTATTTCACAGAAATTCTTAGTAGCACTCTCATTCTCTCTATATCGTTATTATTTTTCTTTTACCATACTCTCCAGACTAATCGCAAGCTCCATGTGAATCCAGTCTTTCTCTCTCTTGTCTTATTATTTCCAGGCTGGTTAGCGTTACTGGGGTTGCGGGAGTGACAAGCTATGTGACCATGTGCATAGGTATTATTAAAAAGTTAGACTTCCAGGCTGAGCTGTGCTTTTCAGTACTGCTTTGCAATCCTTTTGTTTTCCCATAGTAAGCTCTTTATTTTCCCATCCTCCATATTTCATGAGCTCCTTCAGATCTCTTGTAATACATTCACCCTTTTTCAGGTTAATTTTTTTTCACTAATTTATTCTTTTTCTAAGTGAATACTCAAAATCATCAAAATAACTAACATTTATTAAGCAAGTGCCACCAGAAATTAAAATCAGTGCTTAAGCCTCTTTCACCTCTAATAATATTGAAAAGTAAATGTTATTATCCAAATTTTTAAATGATGAAACTGAAGACCAATATATACAGTTACTAATTGAAGGAGCCAGGATTCAAATTCAGGATTTTATGACTCCCAAGTCAAAATTATTTTCATTACAATGTGCTTTTCCTGTTTTATACTGGTATTTTAAGTGATTTTTACCCTCCTATCCCATCAGTAGTTTAAATCTTCCTAAAGAATACTTTCGTCTATAAGAATTTGAATTTATTTGTTTATTTATGTATACCTACATGCAATAATCTTATGTTATTGCAATAAATAAACTATTCCTAGCATTGTAAGAGATTTTTAGAAATTAGGTAATTTTGATTCATGCACTCCAGAGGATCAGAGTCAAAGAAGGAAGAAAAGATCATTATTTACTAAATACAGGCAGTATATTATTTTGCCAGGCCTGCCATAACAAACCAGATGACTTAAACAAAAAAAAAAAATTATTTCTCACAGTTCTGGAGGCTGGAAGTCCAAGATCAAAGCACCAGCTGGTTTGGTTTCTCCTGAGGCCTCTCTGCTTTCAGACAGTCCTAAGTATACTGATGGTGCCTCTGTCTCCTCTTATAAGGATATGAGTTCTGTTGGATTATGGACCCACCTTTATAACTTCATTTGACTTTAATTATCTCTTTAAAGGACCTATCTCTCAATACAGCCACATCGGGGGTTGCAGCTTCATCATATGAAGTTTGGAGGGACACAGTTCAGTCTGTAATTGACAGCAAGTATAATCATTGTCTTCAGTGAGTTTTGAAGGTATTATGGGTGTTCAGAAAATTGGAGTATGGTGGAGGTGAGGTGATTCTGATAACATGCTGGAACAAAAGGAGATATAAACTAGAATTTGATGGATGGGTATGGTGTGAAAAAACTGACACAGAGACAGAATATTCTGATAGAAATTAACTACAAGAGCAAAAATACTTATTAGGAATTAGCAAGGTGTGTATAACAGGTGAATAAGATGTGTCAGTACAGATGGTGATGACCTTGAAAAATCCTCTCGAAGTTGTCATTAGGATGCTCCTTGTGGTTAGAATTATTTTTCTCTCTCCTTTTTTACTCATAGGTAAGTCTAACAGAGATTTAGGGGTTTTGTTTTTATTTTCAATGCATAAATCTGCATTGGATTGATGTGAAACTAAAATGATCTGTTGGTGGTACATGGGATAAGCAGTCATCATTGTCTCTTGCACTGAATTCAAACTTTTCAGATTTTGGTGCTTTAATGACTTCAATTTAAGGTTTCCTTTTTTTTTGTCTAATCAGTTTTCTTTCTTTCTCCTGACATGAATCTTGTGTTTTTAATCAGCTTAATATCAGCAATATTGCTGATACTGCTAATGTACAGAAAATACCTAAGTCTACCCTGATGCACTTGCTCATCAATTTCTCTTGCCCGAAAATCTCTACCTAATTTCCCTTTGTGAATGCAGTTGTTTTGTTAAGGCTACCTTCAAACCCAACTACTGCAGAAGTCAGCCTTGCCTAAGGTTTGTAACCAGTGAATTTCGAACTATGTGCAGGCTGTACTCTTCTGTAAAGTATTTGATAATATGCTATCTTGTACAAATCTCTGGATATTTCATACAAGTAAGTTATGTTTTCACAACTATATGCAAATATTTTCTTTTTTTACTACCTACATTGCTTAGCATTGCATTGTGCACAAAATGCATACATTGTAAACTTAATATTGACTCTAACAGCAGAAGCTGTTCTGTGGCATAGGTCAGATACTTTAAAATAGAGAGAAAGAGAAACCCTTACAGGCCACAGGTGGCATTCGTTGATCTTTATAGTGTGACCCTTCCTATTGTGCTTTATTTTGGATTGATATTAATGGTATTTTACAAACTGGAATAAGTCAGGTTAGCATGTTCAGTGCTTCATATAAGGAAAAAGATTGAGCTCTGTATGAAGCCTACCTTTTAAATGGCCATTTTTGGAAAGATTTTGTGCTCTGTGCACAATTTTTTTCTTCATTCTCTTGCCAAAGAAGGCACCCTTCCTCTCTTCATAACAAAACTTATTCTGTATATGTAATAAAGATAATACATGTGAGGAAGGAAATTGTTATAAATTTGCCTCTCTGATGGCCTTTGACCTTTTCATTATAGCATGACTTGGACCACCACCGATATGGGTTGCAAAATGGGTGACATCTCCAAACATTTAAGATAAGACTTTATAATATGGTAAGATCTTATGTGTCCTTGCAATGTTTAATACATGTACAATTTGAAAAAATCTCATGTTACATCTATTTTGTATAAATGGTAATGTAAATGTAGTTCCTCGTTATTCCCTTATCTTTTCCGAAAGAGGAATTACCAACTATAAATTAAGAAGGTAGACTGTAAGAACTTCTTTTGATAATAAAAAATACTTAATATGGGAAAAGTTTCTGCATCAAAAAGCTTTTGAGCAGGGGATCTGATATAGTTGGGCTCTGTGTCCCCACCCAAATTTCATTTTGAATTGTAATCCCCATAATCCCCATGTCGAAGGAGGGACCAGAAGGGAGGTGATTGGATCATGGGGGTGGTTCCCTGATGCTGTTCTCGTGATAGTGAGTGAGTTCTCATGAGATCTGAGGGTTTTATAAGGCAGTTTTCCCTGCTCTTGCTCACTCTCTCTCATCTGCCACCATGTAAGCCGTGCCTGCTTCCTCTTCTGCCATGATTGTAAGTTTCCTGAGGACTGCTCAGCAATAAAACTGTGAGTCAATTAAACCTCTTTTCTTTATAAATTACTCAATCTCAGTTTTGTCTTTATAGGAGTGTGAGAATGGACTAATACAAGATCTAAGTGTGAAAATTATTTAATATAGCTTTTTCTTTTGGAGGCAGTATAACTCTCCATGCAAAATTCTGGTTAGGCTGCTAAGAATAATGCTGATTATTACTATCATCAGCTCATTTTCACTAAAAATTAATTCAATACATATAATTTACTGAACTTTATTATCACCGAGTGCTCTTATAGGTTTTGCAGGGAAAGGGCACAAAGGTACATGTCTTGATATCAAGGAGCCTTAAAAGGTTATCCTTTGGTTTTATAACTTTTCTGACCAAAAATTTCCAGTGATATCCTAATATTGATTTGGTTTATCAAAGCCTATCTTTGATCTCTATCTGCCCTTTCTTCATCTTGTTGCATATGCCATGCTCTTATCACATCATATTTTGCCTCAATGTTTGATCTGGAGGCTTTGGAAAGACTATCCATTTTAAAAACTGCCAAATTTAACAGGATATACTTAAAGTCTGTAAAAAGATTAAGCCTTTGTGCCAGTACTCTGTGGCTCTGTAATACTTACTTTGAAAGTAGACTGAGTAGTCTAAATAAATTTTTAATTAAGCATCTGATTTAGATAATTTGGGACAGAGCAAAGTTGTATTTTGGGTATTTTTCTTCCCTGTCATTGACACTTTTAAACATATTTTCACTAAAAATATGTGATTTGGCTCTTCTTAATCTTGACGCCAGTGTTACATACTTTTCAATTTAAACACACCAAAACTAAAACTTTAGATATAAGAAAACAATGGATGGAAATGCATAGCTTCCAAAAATGGAAATAGACTTTTACTTATTTACTTCATCAGAGACTTGATATCATTTTTGTTTTTCTTTTTCTACTTTGTGCTATTTATGAGCATAATCTGTAAGCAACAGGTTACATTCTTTTAAAATACTTTTGCAGGCAATATAGTATATATTTGTTTAAATGAAATTCATTTCAGCTCAAATACTCATCTTTTCTCTGTACACACACATATGATAAGACTTTCAGTACTGGTCCTTGTGGCTTGTCAATGTAGCTCTATACAAGGGTGGTGATTTTTACAAAATCCCCAAAGTAGTACCTCTGTTTTGACTGTCACAGAAGCCTTTAGTTTGGCAGGAAACAGATTACCATGTAAGCCAAGTGTGAAATGCCTAACCTTAACCTTGAAAAAAAGGGGCTGCTTAGTAAGTTCTCTTTAGCTTGTTCTAACCTAAAAATTCTCCTTTCTAGTTCTGAAGCAAAAAAGATCTGTTTCCCACTCATTTTTATAAGCAGAGCTCAGTCCTTAGGAAGAATTTCTTGTTTCATTCTTGGAAATGGGACAAGTTCTCTCTCGCTCTCTCTCTCTCTTTTTTTTTTTTCCTAATGAGATAAAGCTTAGAAATAAAACATAAGTCAATTTCTCAGTAGATTATCTGCCTACATTAAATTTTCAATAAATCACCTTCCTGTGCTTAGAAGGGCAATTTGTAAAAGCCATTTATTTGAGGATGGAGAGTTGGGATTTGAAGCATTCAGGGCAGGTGAGAAGAATGAGCAACAGCATCATATGGTGAGTGAGTTGCATGTTAAGCATGTTGTGAGAAAAGGAGAAGGCCATGATAGAACTTTGAAAAGCAGAAAGGCGAAGGCAGAGTGTTTAAATGTACAGCTTCAAAAATTTTACATATTGATTTGCTATTAAATATAATCACCATTAATCCCTATTTGACTCATTAATGTAATGAGAGAACGTGGTTGAAAGTAGGTTCCAAAGTAAGTTCTAATTCTATTTAAAGTTTATTGTAAAGCTAAATATTTAATTACCATAAAGAAGTCCAGGCTATTTCTGTACTGTCAGAACTGAATAGAAGGATTTACAGCTCCCCATGAATCTGGTGCCTTTTCTGTGGATCCAATAAACATCAATGGTTTTGGGAGAATTTTCTGAAGAAGATACAGAAAGAAAGCTAAAAAATTATAACCAAATCCATAATCTTTCATTTTCTATAGCTAGGAAGTTATAATTAAAGCTATTTCACCTTACCTACCTGGGCGAGATTGCATCTCTCATTTGATTGCAAGCCTTTCCATATGAAATTACAGCTAAGTCTGTAGTAGAAGAAAGAGCTGCTGCAAAATCTTAAAGAATGTTTTTCTAAATTTTTATTGTCCGTTACCCTCTCCATAAATAATTTTTGGAACTCTTGTAATGTCATCATTTTTATATAGCCCAACTCTACTCATGTAAATGGCTTTTGAAGTAAAAAGTTTCTCTGGTTTAAATCTGAGACTATCTTACTGGTGTAAATAATCTATCTGCTTGACATTTTATAAGCCGTCGTATTCATCTTGAGTTTAACTGAAGGTCTCCAAAGACATCTAATTAGGAAAGGAAGGAAAAGACAAAGTTTTGTTTTCAAGGCCAGGACAGTGGTGACCCTATGCTAAAAGTCTGGCATTTAATTGTATTTCCAAGTAAAAATATGTAAATAGAATGTGAATGTTGCAGTGTATGAATTATAGCAAAAGCAGGAAATCAGCTGAGAGGCAGCATGCTCTAACAGCTTACAGGAGCTCTGGGTTCTAGCTCGAGCTCTGTAATAACTAGATGACTGACCTTTTGAAAGTCATTTATCCTTGGGCTTCAGCTTTCTCAAGTATAAAATAAGAGGTTGCTGTAGATTCTGCCTAAGATTCTTAAAAGTCTGTAATTCTGTGACATAGGCTATACTTTATGGCTTCCTTCTAGCATCCGTTCAACAATGAAATATATTTTATCTTTGGCAATTTTTCAATATATTTTCTGTTTTTCCGTTGACCACCTCTATAGGTTGGATGCAGGGTGAACAGAACCAGGAAGGTCCAAGCAGAGTATTTTCCCTAGGAAAGTATTAATTGGGAGGTAGGAGTATAGCTGGAGAAAGGGGAAGGAGAGAAGAGAGTGATAATGTCTTTTAGAGTGACTCTTGTATAAACCCTTGGAAGTCAGGCAGGGTGTCGTGGCTCACATCTGTAATTTCAGCTTTGGGAGGTCGACATGGGAGGATCACTTGAGCTCAGGAGTTTAAGACTAGCCTGGGAAACACTGTGAGACCTTGTCTCTACAAAAATATGTTAGCCAGGTATGGTGGTGCATGCCTGTAGTCATAGCTACTCGGGTGGCTGAGGAAAGAGGGTGACTTGAGCCTGCAATGTAGAAGTTGTAATGAGCTTTTATTGTGTCACTGCACTTTGGCCCTTGAGCCTGGATGACAGAGCAAGATCCCATCTATATATATATATCTCCTTGGATGTCTAAGAATCTCTCAAACCACATATGCCCAAAACTAAATTTCTGATATTCCTCATAAAATCTCCTCTAACCACATTTTAGCAATATTAGGGAATAGAAACCCTATCCTTCCAATTTCCAGGAGAAACACCTTGCAGTTATCCTTGATTCCAAGCTCTTTCTCTGATACCTCATGTAATCTATGGCATTATGTTTCAAATGATGTATCCAGAGAGCAACCACTTCTCCTTGCTTCCACACTGGTCAGCTATTTTGATCTCTCATCTGCTATTACACTAGTTGCCTAACTTGTGTCTCTGCTCAACCCTTGCTCCTCTTGAACTGCCAAAGTGATTCTGTCATACCTAATTTTGATCATGTATGTTACCTCTCTAAGGACCTTGTGATAGCTTCCAGTTTTACAGAGAATAAAAGTCAAACTCTTTACAGTAGTCAACATTAGCCCTCCCTGATCTTCTCCTACCCTTACACTCTTATCTGACATCACCTTATCTTTCTGTTCCTCTGATAGATCTCCTCCAGCTGTTTCTGTTGCTCACTCTGCCCTTCTCACTGGCATTCTTATTGCTTTTCTTATTCCTGGAACACAGGAGAGGCCTCTGCACTCAGATGCCTTTGCCTAGAACACTTTTGCCCAGATACTCACTTGGCTTAATCTCATCCTTTAAGTGTCTGGTTTGCCACTCTGTTTAATCCTCCACCTTTGTCTGTTTTGTTTACTGATGCATCCCAAGCACCTAAAACAGTGCCTGGCACATAAGAGATACTCAGTAAATATTTGTTGAATGTATTGTTCTTAGATTTTATATTTCTACCACTTTGAGTTGACTTACTTTCACAATTTCTAATCTCATCTTCATGTATCTGGTTTATGAATTTAACACTGACATCAATTTTGTACTTTGTTTTAGGGCCAAGTTCTCTGGGGGGAACCCCACCATTTCCCTCTGTGTCATCAACCATACTATCCTAAGTGCTCTCCAGAAAGAAGGCTGGTTTAGTAAATGGAAGTATTTTTGGTACTATTAACTCCAGAGAAAAGCAGTGGGAAGGATACTAGGTCAATTTTCAAAGCAAAACCATTCACAGACTAGGAGGCATAATTTATGGACATAATAAGCTGGGACAATGACAGGAGGATTATTGAAGATAAAATATCCAGTGGTACTTGGTAAAACACAATAGGGAATACTTTATTTAGGATTAATGCAATAGGTATAGGGAATGCAAGGTTTTGCAATGGGGGAGAGAAATTGGACTCAGCTCCCAATACAGCATGGGCAACTGGGAATTTATAGGAAAAGAGCGGGGTAGAGGTCATTGGACAGACATTATCTAAGAGGAAACATCAAGGGTAAGGAGGATTCTGGCTAAACTGACCCCACGGTATTTTTGCTGAAGACAGGCCAGCATGATCAAACATCACCTGGGGAGTGGTAGAGGATGAGGAACCTAATCAGACATCAAAGATGATCAGATATTGAGGATGGGGGTTTCTTGCCCGTCAGACTTAGCAGGGTTATTTGCTAAAACTGTATTTGACAAAGAATTGCACAGATGGGCCTAGGAGAAAATTCAGAAGCCTAACTAAAGTTTGGCCCAGCAAACGATTTTGTAAGGAGCAAAAAGATTATAAGAAACAAAATAGAAAAGTTATCCATTGTAAAAAGAAAAATGTTAAAATACAAAATTGATATTGTAGACAGGTATAAACATGCATTTAAAGACATTAATAACAAGATGGTGAGTATGTGAGAAAGCCAAGGTAAAGTTCATAGTTGTTATTTATTTCTTCGTATTTTGCTTTGAGATGAAATTAAGGAAGGGAAAATGGAGGGTGGGAGGGAGCAAAGAGAGGAAGGAAGGAAGGGAGGAAAGAAGGAAGGAAGGGAGGGAGGGAGGGAGGGAGGCAGGGAGGGAGGGACGGGCGAGCTAATTCAGGGATACTAATTGATGAAGCCTGCTTTTGAGATGTCTCCTGAGCCGAAGTGTCATTTGTAGGTATGGACAGCAAGAATGCAAGGTTAGGCAGAAAGTTAAGACCAAGGATCATGTCAGACAGTAGCAATCTAGCAGGTTTTTTACTGGGTCAGGACCTGAGGAACTAAGAAGGCTGTAAGGCCATGTATACATAGGTCAGTGTATCAGCAAGAGCTCCGTTTTCTCTTTTCAGTCCCTATTCAGGGAGGACAGAAGAGGCAGAAATGTATTTATGTTTATTACAGCCAATGGTTTAGTCAATGCCCTGAACAAGCCTGCGTGCCCCTGATTAAGGTAAGGGCAGAGGTGCTGGACCTATGGGGAATGAATGCAGAAATAAGAAAATATTGAGATGTCAATCGTACAATTACTAAATACTTTTTGACGTGCATGGTTAAGGTTATAGGAAAGAAGGAAACTGAAAGATGCACCTACAGGAAAAGATAAATGAGATTTTCGAGCAAAATGTACATGTTCTAAATAGAAGCTCTATGGATAGTGTTAATGTAAAGTTCTATAAGTAAGTGAAATGGATGTTCAGGTAAGTAATTAAAACAACATAAATATAACTGAAAAATGTTGAAACTGTACAATTTACATAAGAATAAAATGAGATATTTAATAGACATTTAAAAATATTATTACAAACTTTAGTTAAAATGTTCAGATTGAGAAAAAACTTTGAGGGGGTGGATAACTGTGCCCTTTATCAGCAATTTTAGACAATTGTTAATTATAGTAGAGATGATTCCAGTTAGTAAACAGCATTGTGGTGAATCACAGAGTCCCATGAAAAGTAAGCTTTATCTTGATAGAAGAGAGTCATTGAGTTATGATAACTAAATACAAGCAGGGTAGTGTGTATAGGAAACATTAAGCTAAGAGTTAAAGAAATTTTGGCTGGGCACAGTGGCTTACACCTGTAACACCAGCACTTTGGGAGTCCAAGGCAGACATATCACTTGAGGTGAGGAGTTCGAGACCAGCTTGGCCAACATGGTGAAACCCTGTCTCTATTGAAAATACAAAAAATAGCTGGACGTGGTGGCGCATGCCTGTATTCTCAGCTGCTACTTGGGAGGCTGAGGTGGGAGAATTTCTTGAACCTGGGAGGCGGAGGTTGCAGTGAGCTGAGATTGTGCCACTGCACTCCAGCTTGGGTGACAGAGCAAGACTCCATTAAAAAAAAAAAAAAAGGGAGGGAGGGAGGAAGGAAGGAAGGAAGGAGAGAGGGAGGAAAGAAAAGAAAAGAAAAGAAAAAAGAAAAGAGAAGAAAGAAACTTTTTTCTCCCAAGTTCTCAGTGGAATAGATTCTCTATATGGTGCTGCTCCCCGCGTTCCTGCTGGAACCCAACATGTGACAGAACAATGCTCTGTGGTCAGAAAACAACTGTCCTAAAAAGCAGCACACCAGTTTCGTTCTAACTTTCTCACAGCTACCTGAACATTGTCTATTCATTTGTTAAAAGAACAGATTGGACCAAATTATTTCTAAAATCCGAATCTCTGTCATTACTATGTGACCTTGGGTGTAATACCAACTTTTGTGTCACTTTTCCTCATCTGTTAAATTGTTAAGTGGGATAATAGTTGTTGACCTTATCTATCCATTCCTTTCTTCCTCCCTCCCTTTCTCCCTTCTTTACTTCCTAGAATCAAATTAGATAATATACATGAGAGCACTTTAAAACTTAAAAATTTGGTGTGTAACCACAGGCGTAGTTACAGTATCTAAGGGGGTGTAGGTTTGCCGCTATTGCATGCATATTATGTGCCAAGCCCATTGCTATGTCTTTATGATACATTATCCTTCCCAGATTTACATAAGGTGGTTGTCATACACCTGCTACAGACAAGAAACCTGGAATCCATGGGAGTAAAGGAACTTGTTTAAGGACAAAAGACAAATAGAAGAATTTAGGGTTTGAACCCAGGTCTGCCTAATTATTTTCTGTGGTTTTAAGAGAAGCAGTTATGAAGCGAAGCAAAATGATCTATGTATGAGGTTGTTTTCCTGTTGTGTTCTGAGAAAAAGTAATGCTGACTCTTCTGTTTCCTTTAAAAAAAGACAAAAAGGGTCTGACTAGCTGCCTCTATGGTTTAGAACCAGGAGATAATTTTGAGAACAGTATTCCTTTTCCCTTATTATATTTGCATTATTACAATATCTCATCACTAGAACCTGAAGTTTTAATAAGGCTCGTAAAGTAGGTGTTGAGGAGGGAGTGCCTCTATGGGAAATTTCAGAAAATCCATAGTTAAAAAAAAAAAAGAAAGATAATTTAAACAGGCCCTCTTCCAAACAAGAACTTCTATGGTTAACATCTTTTCTTTTTCTTTTTTTTTTTAATGAAGGAGGGATTTATTGCAAAATTTTAGAAATGTTATTCTCATTACTAAATAGCTATGGGTTTGCTTCTCAGAAGAAAGCCAGGAGATTCAGCTTGTAGTGTCAATTAGTTTCAGAAACTAGTGACCAGTTACTTTTATAATCATTTTCAAAAGGAGCAAGTAGCAGTGAGGACACAGCTGATAATAGCTAAATATTTCGTTTTCATTGTCCTATCAAGGTGACTAGGGAAGGACTGCATTCTTCCTGACAAATATCTGCTTTACAGGTTTAAGTTCCTTTGGGATCTTTGTTGCCAGAGTGTAAAAGGCCTGGGATAGTTGTTTTATTTGATACTAATTCAGCCCGGCAAGCCGTAACCAGGAGTGTCACATCTAAATGCCTGGACACACTGCTCATCTTTTCTCTGTGATTGGTCTCAGATTATAGTACTGTGTCAAGGTTCATTCGATCCGAAGCATTTCAGCATCAGCTTTTACTTCTCCCTGGCTTCAATGAAAGAAATTTCTGTGATGTAAAGATTGAGGATTTCTTAGCCATTAATAATTTTATTTATATTACTCTTCAGATTCTTCTGGCGGATCCAGTGATAATTTTTCTTCTTAGTGGTGAAACTGCTAATTGCTAGTTGAGGATAAGATGGAGAGTTTTTATTTTTAATGTAAGTTTCTTGGGTTTTAAGGTATTTCTTGACAGTTTAAGTATTTTTTTGTATGGAAGCCCAACTACTACCCTGAAAAAATAAAAAAAATAAAAAATAAAAAACTAATCCATGTATCCTTTGTATAAATTTTAAAAATCGATTAAATTGCTTCTTAGTAAACATGGGAATGACCAATCATCTTTTTCATTCTAAAAGTGACTTTTCTCTACCAATGGAAATCTGATTGTAAGTTAAAAAATATTTGAGAGCATTTTTATTTAGAATACAATTTGCAAATTTAGCCTATACTAAGTGCGTAAGCTCTCCATACATTTCATTTAAATTTGCAGGAGTATTCCTTTTTACTAATTCTCCTTTATCATTTTCAGTTTGGTTGATAATATGAAGATGTTTATAGGAAATTTGACTATAAGCCAAATCTCTTGGAAATAATTATTGTCATCCATAAAGAATTAAAAGGTTGAAATGTGAAGAAGACTGTAATAAAGACATATAAGGATTTCATGTAGGATAAAGGACAGAATTAAATTAAATATGGCAGTGAGGAGAAGTTAAACCACTGTGTTTTACTTCAAACATTTTTACTTAATCAGATTTCAGTTATTCATTGTCCTTCAAGATTAGGTTTTCTGTGGATAACCTGCAGCTGCTCATTTGCCAAACTAAGCTGGAGCTACTGTTTGTTCACACCAGAGTTTGTTAATGGTTGTTGTAGTAGAGATGGTATTTGGTGTTGTTTTTGTTATCTTTGATCCTTCTTTGATAAATGTACATGAGTTAGAGTTTGAAAGTTAACAATTTTGGTGGGTTGAGATTTTTTTTTTTAAATAGAAAGTTTTGACAAGCATAAAAGTTTCAAATTAATATTTTTTAGGATCATCTCAAAGTGTCAAAATGTGCAACAATCAGCTTTGTTGTCCTAAAAAAAGAAATCTGCAAACCGTGTGGTTAATTAGGTACCTCTTATATTTTGCTTCAGTTTATTTTCAACTCTAAGTTAAAAAGATGTCCCATCAGTGACTGGTTTTATAAGAAAAAAGATACTATTTTAATCTTCAAAAAACAACAGCTTGCGGGGGTCAATCTTTTAAAGTACATGCTTCACTGGTTGCAATTATTAATCAGTTTCCTTCAGGAAATATATGAAATTAAATATTAAAGTACAGATCTAAACAAAGCCGCAGTCTCAGGGCTTCTGAGGGCATGATTTCCTTATTAGCTTGAAATAGCTGACCTTCCTCAATCCAGATGTAGAGTCTGCATGAATATGAAATCCCTCATTTTATCTGTGTACTTCATCATTTGGGCTTTATTTACATTTTGGCACTTTATTTCTTTTAATAGGCACTGTTTCTTAGATGTTAACTTTCCATAATGGCATTGTTAACTGCTAACCAGTTTTGTTTATTAAAAAGAAGCTTTCACAGTATGCTCAAGTTTGTTCATTCACTCAGACAACAATATTTATTTACCACCTGTTATGTACCAGGCAGTACCTAGTTACTTGGAATCAATGAACAAAAGAAGAACGCTTTCCTCATAAAGCTTGCATTTTTGTGGCAGATAGAAGATAATCATGAACTTATACATATATCACATTACATACTATGTTAAACGGTAAGTACTGTGACAAAAATGAAAAAGCAAATGTAGATGTGAGTCATAGGGGCCAGAGTATATATGGTGGATGGGGAAGAGACTTGCAATGAAAACAAAACAACACAAAAGGATGGTCTGTTTGCCTTCCTATGAAGATGACATGTGGATAAAGATGTGAAGAAGGTGAGGAACTTGGCAGTGGGGATTCCTGAAAGAAGATCATTCCAGGCAGAGGACTGAGCTAGAGCAATGGTCCTAAAGTAAAAGCATTTCCTGGAGTGTTTAAGGACAAACTGAGCAGGGAGAATAGCTCCCTGGAGTATAAAGTAAGCAGAGGAGGAATAGCAAGAGAGGAAATCAGAAAGGGACAGGGGAGGCGTGGCCAGATGCAGATCCTGGAGGGCACAATTGGCTGATGTTCTTACACTGAGATAAATGGGAAGCTACTGCAAAGTTTTGGGCATAAGTGATGTCTTCTGACTTATTTGCAATCAGGACGCATTTTGAATGTAGAGTCAACAGAATTTTCTAATGGATTAGTATTGAATTCAGACAGACACAAAAGTACATGTGTTACCTACAGAAGCCATGGACACCTTGGCAAATAACATTCATAGCAAATAATAATAGTGATATTAATGGTAAATAATGACATCCATATTATTGCCATTGCCAGATACTCTCTATTTTACATGAGAGAGTAAACACTCAAAACATCCTGTAAAGGATTAGTTATTATTATTCTCATTTTACAAAAGAAGCTGCAAAGCACAGAAAAATCAGTTCCTTGTCCAAGATAACAGCGGAAAAGGGACAGAGTTGGATTTAAATCTTGGTGTTAGAGAATATGTGCTCATAATCTGTACTGTTCATATTTTGAAACAAAGATTATACCAGAGCTCCAAACAGGGAAAGGTAACAAATACCTCTTATTTAGAATCAATTTTCTTTTGCTTCTTTACAAGGAAAAAAATAACAGAGCTGGTAAGTGTTGACAGTGCTGAAGGTGAGTGATTTTATTACTCCAGATAGGTTAGCTTATGCTGTGGGAACAACCAGTCTGTCAACAGAGGTTTATTTCTCCCTAGTTGCAGCTCTGCTTCTTACTGCCTTCATTTTGGACCTCAGGCCACTGAAGCAGTCCTTGTCTTGGGACATGTCTCTATCGTAATTGATGGGAGAGAGAACATGCCACACCGTACACTTCCTCTTTAATCTTCTATCTGTAGACAGAATGTGCCTCTGCCCACCTTTCATTGGCCAAAGCAAGTCATGTGACCATCCCTGAGTTCAGCAGAGCCTTGCTATATACATGTCCCACAGACAGGCCCCACAGAGAGGGAAATGAAATAATTTCTGAGTAGATTCTGATCTACCACAGGGGCACTGCCTTATTTTTAATCATGCTTACATACTTTGCAGCTGCTAATCTGCTGACATTTTCCAAAGGTGGCAAGTACTATAAAGAAAAGATAAAACACAGTTAATGTATTTCTTGGACTGGAAGAATTCTTAGACTATCTAAACCAGTGCCTAGGCAGAGAACCCTTGTGAGGAAATTTGATTGATAAGTTTCCTGATTGAGGCCATGGAGTTGAGTGGGAGGGAGGCTTCTGTGGATTTTTCTCAACAAGTTGATTTTAAGATTCCATAAGACCCTTTCTTCACATTCACTCAATGTTCACTCACTGATTCACCCAGAGCAACTTCCGGTTCTGCAGGTTCCATTCATGGTAGATATTTTATACAGGTGTACTTTGTCTTTTATGCTTTATTTTTACTGCATTTTTTATATTTAGAGACATAAATACTTACTATTCTACTACAACTCCTACAGTATTCTGTAGAGTAACATGCTATATAGGTTTGTAGCCTAGGAGCAATAGGCTATACCATACAGCCTAGGTGTCTAGTAGGCTACAAACTCTATGTTTGTGTATGTACAGTACACTCCAGGAATGTTCACACAATGGCAAAATTACATAACAACACATTTCTCAGAACGTATCCCTGGTGTTAAGCAACATATAACCGTGTATACCACCTTTTCTTTATCTCTTCATGTGATGAGGACACTTAGGTTGATTGCATATCCTTGCCATTTTCAATAATGCTGCCACAAACATAGGAGTGCAGATACCTGTTGGACATACTGATTTTATTCTTTTTGGTTATCTACCCAGTAGTGGGATTGCTGATTCTTTGGTATTGTTTTAGATATAAGGTATAAGATCTGTGACAGAAATTTTCTTGAGATTTAGGATAATTTGATGATACTCTTATAAGTGTAATTTACTCTCTTTCTTCAAGTACTGTTTTGCTAGAGATTCTCCAGTGTGCAAGGCATTCACTCGAATTTCTCTTTAAACTCCATTCCTCGACACTGCTCCACTTCTCTTATAGATCTAGAAGTGGTATAAATCAAGTTGATCTGAAAATGAAAAAAAAATGCAGAATTCTCTCATAAACGGTTTCAAAATTTAATATTACAGCTGTTAGTTCACTGGGCAATGAGCAAAGTTTGCTTTTTTAAAAATCTGAATTCATTTTATTTACTCTGCAAATAATTTACTTCAATACATTTAAAAACTCAAGTTTTGTTTTGTTTTTGATTTTAAAGACAAAAACATTCTCATAGTTTTCAGACCTAGAAAAACAAACTTTGTATTGTATTGTAATGATTTTCAGTTTTTTATAAAGAACTACCTGTTTTATTAAATTGTAGGCCCTTTATGTAACAAATCTCCTTTCTTTTCCTTTATTTGAAATGATAACTCTAGAACTTTCACACAAATAATCAAAACTGTGAATAGAAATTCGTCTTTTTGTTTAACTATGAACTTCTTTCTTACCTGATAGGTTTCTTTTTCCAAAGAGGAACAGGACTGCTAAATTTAGTACTGTCAAATACTCCAGGATCAAAGCTCTCTGCTAAGTCCCCAGAATGGAATAGCTGCCACCAGCCTTTCAACTACAAGTCTTTATGAATCTGGACTTTTTGGACTGAAGTTAGTCTGTGAATTGAATTTCCTTTATAAAGTTTTACTTCGGATTTGTGCCCTTAGCTTCATTTCCCCTCAGGGATCCTTTAACTTCACGAGAATATTCTCTGGAAAATGATACCTTTCAGTGACTTGTGCCTGAGTCCTCTCAGAATGTTCCTATTCATTGCCAATGCTCCAAGACTTCCTAGTGTAATTCATTATTAAATTCAGGATATAACTTATTTAATTTTTATAGGGATTATTTATATCCTGGCATTTCCTCATCTTGTTGCTTTCCTCTGATCTAAGGCTAGATTTTTGAATATAGTATTGATTTACTTCATTTTTCTTCCATAAATAAGGTAGTAGAATACAATAATCTTCTCTCTTTGGTAGCTAGAGAACAGAGCCTGCCCCTAGGCCCTGCTGCTATTTCTTACTGGTATAAACTGGCACAATACAATCCAGAATAGCCAGTGTACATTCATCATATCACATTGGAAAGCAGGAAACTATAAGAAGTGATTCATATGCAAATCTGAAAAGCTCTTTTCCTACTCCTTAGAAATGACTTAGCTTTAAATTGCTCCTCATTTATGAGAATAATAATGAACTTAATTGTTCTTCTGGAATATCTGTGCTGTTGTAAGGAGGAACCTTCCATACTTTTAGGACGCATCCAAGAGCTATCTCCACACTGGGAAGAAAGCGATCATCAGTGTGAACACTTAAATCCTTAGATATCTAATACCTTTATAACTTGAATGTATAGACCCATGGATAGACCTGCCAGTAGACATAGACAAAATTAAAATGTTCATGTTAATGAAACTTGTTTGGCTTTTTCTTTAAAAATTTATTTTGTGTATGGAGGAGAGTATTAAATTTGAGAAAATTTGCTGACAGATTTTTCCTACTCACTATTGAAGAATTAAGACAGTACCATTCAAATTACACAGCTTTGAAGTTTATCTGTTTCCATTATGAATTTTTAAAAAAGATTTGAAATTACATGAAAATTAAATATAGATAGTAATTATATATTCTATCGCATTTGGGGCTATTTAATAAATCCAGAAATATAAGCAATTAAGATAGTTGATCCTACTGCTAGCTTATTTATATTTTAAAAAGTTGCTTTCATAATTACCATATTTTTTGAAAGTGCAGATTGAAAGTAATTCAAAAGGTGGCCTACAATTCCCTATTCCAGTAGGTTTTTATCTTATTTTGTCTATGTTGAAAAGAAACCTATTTTTAACTTGGAATTACATTATTATATTTTGATTAAATGTAATTTTTGGTACTTATTCACATGATTTTCATACTATTTTTAACTCTTAAAAAATTCTAATGCTTATGACAATTTTTACCTCATAGTAGATATTCAAGTCCGAAAGTTATGGATTTGTAACCACTCAGTTAAAACTTTTGTATTTTAAAGAAACATTTTACAATTCTTAGTCGGCTTACTTTTTTTGTACAATCTAGTTTGGTGCCTCCCACTCCCCCAACCCCCGAAAAAGTGGATTCGAACTAGGGTTAATTACGTTTTCTGTGATAATTTTAAGATATTTCTTAGTTGAATTACTTCAAGTACCTCCATATAGGTATCTCTCTCAGACTTGCTGTACATGGGTTTCATCTTTGAAGTTGCCAACCAGGTAAGCGTCTTAATATATACTTTGATCTTAATTAAGAGACTTGCTTTAACGATTTCCCGTTGATTTTCAGATAAAATTTAGACTGTTTAATGGGCAATTCAAGTCCTTCTTCATGTGGCTTTGCCTTTCCTTTCAGCCTCATAGCCTGTAGGGCATATTCTAAATTACTAAAGCACTTTTCTTGTCACAAACACACTTTGTCCTTTGACATTTCTGGATCATTGCGTTTCTTCTGCCTGAGTGTGCATCTTTCCCTTCACCCACGCTGCTAGATTTTAGTAATCTTTTAAGGTGTATATCTGATATTTTTTTCTGATGAGCTTCACCAATTGTCTTGTATTTAGGCCAAACCACTGGCTCTTTTCAGTGTTTACACTGTCGCTGGCCCTTCCTGGAAAAGGAGCTAGTCAAATCTCTGCTTTACAGTCTTCTCTCCATGAGAACTTGGGCTTCTTTAACAGAGATGTCTCTTGCCTCATGCCCAGCTCTTGGAATAATGCCAGGAACATATTAGGTACACAATACATGGTTTTGTTTTTGCTATTTATTGATTTATTTTGTTGTTGTCATTTGATAAATAATCCACAACCAGTAAATTAAAATCCCTGAAGTATCTTAAACTATGGAATTTATGATTTGTGTAGATATTGCTTGTTTCTAGAAGAACAAACATTTTTGCAGGAATAAGTGAAATAGCTACCTTTTCCCCCACAAAATACTATTAAAAATATCAGCGTATTAAAAAGTTATTCACCAAGAACTTCCATCCATGCCACTTCTAATCAAGATACACTTGGAAATTTAGACTCCTTTCAGTCTCCTCTGTGTAAATACCAGGTGGCATAATGCTTATTACATACCATACAGAATCTTTTTAGATCAAAGAATCATTGTTCAGTTCTATTTCTTGTCAGTTTAAATGTACCATAACAGTGGAAATATGCGTTTTCAATATGCTGCATGAGTTTATATCAAGGCTTGATAACTGAACTGTCAGAAACCCTAAATTCATCAGAGAGGGCATTATTTTTATATAGATAAAAAGATATGGTTCTTCATTCTATTACACGAATTGTCATCATAATATTACAGTTAAAGCTAATGAACCATTCTCTGGCATTTGAAAAGCCAGTTAACATGGTGTTTTCCTGACGAAGCTCAAGTTTATAAATGAATTAAATCTATTTGCGTGGGTGTTGTAATGATTATGATATTACTCCTCGACGTTATAAAATAACTACTTTCTGCCCCCAATTAAGGCCAGCATGACCTACAAAAGGAAACAAGTCGTATTCATTTAATCAAAATAAGATATGTAGGGCTTTAGTGGGAAAATAATCCTATAAGGAAAATTAGTTGTCATAGCAAACATTCTTATTGAAATCTGAGTTGTATATTGGGCTTAAAACAGAATTTGCTGTCATTCAGTGCTAACCAAGCGTAGGCAGAGCCACACCCTTGATAAAGTTCTAGGATAAGTAAATTCATGTTCAATATCCTTTGCTTATCTCCCAGTCAAGAAACTATTAAAGATAATAGTTTAATTATTTTAATAGTTTAATAACTTTAACTATCTTTAATAGTTTGAAACTATTAAAGATAATCAAAAATAACTCCCAGTGACTTTTTATCTGTATTCTATTTCTTTTATTTTGATATTCCATTGAATTTTAGATGAATTCTGGTTGTCATAAGAAGGGCTCTGTTGGATGGAGGAAAGGCATGGTTATACTATGAGCTAAGAACAATTGTCAATCCTTGCAAACGTCTTCTGCCAACTTTTAAAGAACTAATTTTGGATTTTCTTTGAATTAGGTGAATAAATTATTTAAAAACCTCAAATATGTTCACTTACTGGTACTTGCTATCTGCCTATTGTTACAGTTTTTAAAATATTTTTACTTATATTTTTATAAAATAAAATATAAATACATAGGCACAAAATAGAAATATTAAATAATCTATAAAGTGAAAATAAATATATATGATATGTATTTATATATCATTATAAAATATAAAAATACATTTGCATTCTATTAGTATCTCTAGTCCTAAACTTACCCTCTTTGAAATATTGAACTGAATGGTGATATTTAGTTTTAGCCAAAGCTCATTGATCCATTTGATTCAATTCAATAGCTAATTCTACTTTTCAAGAATCATGAAAAACTTTAAGCTCAATCCATTTTATCTAACTGAATGCTAAACTGACAGCATTAAAAAATCAGCTATCCTGAGTTTTTCAAATTTATGTATGTTAATTGTGTTCTTTAAAGCATTCACACAACTCACTAAATATTTTATATTTGCTCAGCTGTTCTGATATTGTATTGGAAGAATCTATAGCCCAGGTTTTTTCTCTCACCTAGAGAGATGTATGTCTTCAGTTCACACAATTTCCCTTAATGTTTCACCTGAAGTTGAAGTTGGAATGTTTTCAAATTGCAATTTGATGTTTGGTTTAGCATTAGATACAGTGTTGAAGAAACTGCTGAAATTGAAATCTGAAAAAATTGGGTTCAAATTCTGACTCAGCTATGTATCAGCTGTGTGATTTTAGATAGATCACGTATCTTGTATAAAAGTTAATTTTGTCCTTCTAAAGCTGAAAGTAATAATGCTGACTTAACTCCTTCTGAGGATTTTTTAGAAGGATCAGAGAAATATAGGATATAGATTTATTTTTGAATGCAAGTTATGATATAGAGCTCAAGTATTTATCTTAGAATATTATAGTTGGTTCCTTCATTTACTGTGTGAAAAATACATCCAGAGAAGGCAAACTACTAGAAGTGTAGTGGGCTCAAGTTTTGACAACCAGAAAGAGTTTGTGGTGAGATTGTTAAAAATGTGATTCCTTCACTTCTTGAACAGATTTCTAAAATATTCCATTTAATCATTGAGTAGTATGTTGTTAGATGCTTTCCTAGATAGGACAGAATTTTTAAGTTTACTGATTTTGTAAATAATTGTCATTTCTCATTTCCCTCACCCCAAGAAAAAAAAAAGAGTATATAGTGTTAAGGTAACAGTTTAAGGAGTCAGACAGACAAAAATTCATATTCAAGCCTGACATTTAGATTCTTGAACTCTCAGCTTATTTTTATTTGTAAGAATGGGAGTCAGTGTATTATTTTATATTATCATTTTAAATGGCAAATATTCTGGGAACTTGCTGAATTGTTTCGTATTTCCATAGGTTGGCACATGCTCTCCCTTCCTGGAATGCTCTTTCCCAGTCTATCCACCCAGAAAGCCTCTGTGTGTCCCTTCAGCTTAATCTCAGAAGCTACATTGTCCTCAGCAATGCCTTCTGTGACGCATCAGCCAGCTTATATGTCCCTTTTTGTATGCTCATGTTGCATATGTAATGTGACCCCCACTAAAGCAATTAAATTATTGGTTCATAACTTTTTATTTGATTGTTCTTGTCCAATTAGACTGTATACTTTTAGAGGAGAGAGAATGATGCATAGAAGGTAGTATATGAATAATGAATGAATGAACACAGGAAACACTTAAGCCTAGAACATTTAAGGCAAACAAATGTTACTCTCTTTTCTGTATGTATATACGTGTGTATTTGTGTGTGTGTGTAATCTTAAATATTAAAATTTATATTTTAAAAGTAATTCTATATGCAATGGTTTAAAATTCATCTTCTGATTGTCACATGCCATGATTAATATTTTGAGGGCTGAAAAGATGACTTATACTAGCGGCAGAATCATGAAAAACCAAGTATGATATTGCTTTCTTTTAGGAAGTGCAGATTTTGATAAGAACATTTGAAATGTAAATTTTACACCAGGAATCACAAAGTTTATAGATTTTCCATGATTAAACTCACCCAAACTCAGGTGGAAGTTTTTTTTCCATGAAATATTTGGTGGGAGTTAGGAATAAGCTGCAGAATTTCTTTAGTGGCCGCTGTATTTTCCCCAGTGACACCTACTGTATCGGATTTTAAGTGAATTAGTAACTAAATACAGTGAAAAGCCTTTTGTTAAGTGCATAAGATATTTGAGATAATCGGTATTATTACTACAACAAAACTACGTGTAAAGCAGGTTCACAAAAATGTGACTCTTTACTGGATTGCCTTGTCATATAAATCTTTAGGGATGATTTCGGCTTTCAACATAACTTTAAAATTCATTAAGTAATAATTCAAAAATGCCAACATCTCAAAAATCTGGCAAGAATAATTTACTTTCTTATTAGGACTCTTACCTTTTGAAAAAATATAGAATCTCATATACTGGAACTATTCTAAGGCCTGAGAGGGTGATAAAATCTTAGTTGTAATATTACATTCTAAGTGGCAAATGGCTCATGTCTTCTACTTTAATCTATGCTGGAAATTTATATGCATGTTTCAGAGAAGAACTCATTTGTAACTGAAAATACAATAAAACTGAAATAAGTGGCCAGAAAATTTTAATAGTTATTTAAAGGCAGACAGATCTCTACTCATGCAAAATTTTTATATATGAAATGCTTAATATAAGTTTTCTTCAAAGTTAACTCTTTCTTATGAATGGAATAAAATGATTCTAACATACATCATAGCCCAGGAAAGTAAAACAGTGTATTTTCTATGTACCATGGAATTTCCAAACTTGATATTATAGTTAAGGTGAGTTTGAAAATCCCACTGATAATATTTTGGTTATTGGCATACCAGCATAGAAGAAGTCTTTCATCCATATGTAATAACATATGTCAGGGAAATAGTAATGATTAATGAATACTTCTTGCCAGTATTTGGTTGAGGGAATCGTGGTACAGATAAATTAGATAGTGTGTCCTGTTTAAGGTCACAACTGGCCTTCATTTTAAATTCCATAACCCTAGCTTCTTTATTAGCTGACTATAGTTATTTGAAAAACATATTAAATATAGTTTATTTCAATAAAATAAAATATACTCAAACATCTCTGGGTGACTGACAGAGAAACTTCAAATTTGCCTTTCTTTAAGTCATTCTTAAAACGTGTCATCCTCAACTTATTTATGTCTGTGGCCCATTACTCTTTTTAAGAGATTTGATTCTTATTCCTCCTTGTTGAGTATAATGCAACTAGAGTTTACAAAGATCTTGAGTTAGACTACATAATGTTCTGCCTAATGTGACTGGGGCAAATATGTCTGATGTCTGGGCAGGGGCAGGGAAACACTTCTGCCCTGTTTTTCAGCCTCTCTCTGCCTGCTGTGGCCAACTGAAAGACTCCTGTCTAGATAGTGGAACCACAAAGTCAAGGCACCTCAGATTACTGAGACACACTATTTAAAATAGCTGCCCTGGAGTTTTGCAGATACAGAATTTACTTTATGTCAATGAAAGATAGATATGTTATTAATACTAATTATGATACTCCTATGATATGACACTAGGCTTTGGAGTTTGTTTGTTACTACAGTATAACCTACGCTATCCTGACCTGTACATATTTTCATATGATATATCAAATAAATTGCAATCAATAAATATATCCAATACACGAAAATATGAATTTATAAGGAAATAAAGTTATAGCAAGTATCGTAAATCTAGTTCAATATTAGATAACTTTCAGAAACAGCTACTGCACAAAGAAGAGAACACTGATACCCATACATATTTTATGTAGGAATATTATAAAACCTTGCCAGAATTACTTTACTAACATAATCATTAATAATACTAGAAATAGAACCAAGGTGGACTGCATTTATGTGACTCTCTATGTGCTGTAGAATGTCATTGTCTTTGTCCATTTATTTATGCCTTTCCTGTTTCCATTTATAAAGCACTGTATTTGTTCTGAAGCAAGTAGGGTCCTAGGTCAGAGAGTGTGTAGGTGATGAACTGGAACCTGACAACTGGGGACCTGAAGTGGCTTCTGATACAGCACAAATTCCAAAGTAGTATAACTTTGGGAAGTAAGAAAAATAAAAGACAATACAAAACAATTGAAAGAGTCACATAATAGCTTTTTAAACCTAACTCATCATTAGATAGATAATATTTAATAAACCTAATTTCTTTTTGTGTGTGGCTTTGCTTTTTTGTATATAGTTTAGCATTTTATTGCTACACATTTACTAATGTTATGACATTACATATTTTTCTGAGAAAAATATCCAGTTGTTATATAGATGTTCATCACTTCAGAGAAAAATCATTGACCATATCGTAAAAAAAAGATAGGTGTAAGTTGTTTCCCAAAACCCAAACTGAGCCTGCATTCTACCCTATATACATAATCAGGAATGCAGAATTTAAGTGTTCATATTTATGTGTTATTAAAAATTGTTTTAGATGCATTTACCTCAAGAGCATTGGTAACTTTTTAACAATAGTGAATTGGTTGAATAAATTATTTTAAATTCACAAAATGGTTTTAGTTTTCAAAACCAGCAAAGATTTAAAGAAATTTTTTTACAGGCTGGGGTTGGTGGCTCACACCTGTAATCTCAGCACTTTGGGAGGCTGAGGTGGGAGGATTACCTGAGGACAGGAGTTCAAGCTCAGCCTCGCCAATATAGTAAAACCCCATCTCTACTAAAAATACAAAATAGCTGTAATCCCAGCTATTTGGGAGGCTGAGGCAGGAGAATCGCTTGAACCCAGGAGGTGGAGGTTGCAGTGAGCTGATATCACGCCACTGTACTCCAGCCTGGATGATGGAGTGAGACTGTGTCTCAAAAAAATTAAATAAACAAATAAAGATATTTCTTACAACAGATTTAAAGTTTTGAAAAATTCTCAGCATGCATTGCTAAAGAAAGAGGTAACAAAATATTACACATAATACAATTCTTATTTTCCAAAAGGTAATTATATTCTGTAAGTATTTTTTGCCCAAGGGAAGCAACTTCAAGTTTTATTGGTAATAATATGATAGACAATAAAAATAAGACATGGTAAATTTATTTCTGGCTACATTCTGCCAAATGCTTTATTTTCTTTTTAATTTGATATAATGTGAGGAACAAAAGAAAGCCTTTTTGGCATTACATGGACAAATAAAAATAAATTAATGGGGTAGAGTAATACATAGAACTGTCATTTGTAATTTCAGTTATACCTGGGGAAGATTCGATTATCCTCAGAGAGAAGTAAGATCTCCGAAAAGTTAGTCAAAATTAGAGGTTAAAATGATAAAGAAACAAAGCATGCCAAAATTTTGAGCAAATGGGTTCTGTGATACATAACTATAAGGTTTGGTTTGATTGAATATTTCTAGTAAAAAGTCTTTTTAAGTATGTAAAAACAATTTTTATTTAAATGACTTTTCCCACTCAATTTTAAGAAATGAAAAGGAGAAAACAAGTAATTTCTTATGAGGTTTAACAGTAAACTATTCAAAAAATGATAAAATTCAAAAGTCAAATCCGTCATTTTTGTATTTAGAGAGATAAGAGCATAGTTGGTAGTTTCGTGTGGTTTATTTACTTTATAGTTCTATCCAGAATCCAATCACATTTGTTATGCTGAACACATTTTTATTTTTTCTTGAGGAGTTTGAAAAACATATAGCTTATTTGGAAGCATATTCCAACCAGGAGAAAGTGTTGTTTTCCTTTCTTTTTAAATTCAAGGACATAAGGACAAGTTTTTAGAATCTATTAGTAAGAGGATCCAATACTCTTCAACTCTCCCCACTTAATCTTCTCATTGTCTAAAGTTTGAATATGAAGCCATGATCCTAATTATTCAGATACTGAATAGGACACGTAAGAGCACAAGGATGAAAATTTTATAGGGCATAGATGTCTATGTTCTGAACAAGAATATGGTAAATTACGCTAAGCTGCTAGAAGAGTACAAGCATAGAAAAACATTCTATTCATTATAGAATAATTCTAATACATTTTTGTAATAAATGAACTAATAGTTTCTGTCATTATTAGAATTCAAATATAAATGTAATCATGGTGATTTTTGAAAAATCTTACTGGCACATGTTGATAAAATTTTACTTTAGAGCAGAACAGGATGTCTGCTGTATTACTCTTGTTAATTTCTTACCTTTTTGTAATGCTAAATTAATGATCAACATTAACAAAATGTTTATAAACAACTTAAGTATCTTTTCTTGAGTATATTTTCCTACTCTAACAAAAGCTAAGGTTTAATTTAAAAATATCTTCCACTAAGTAACAGTCACAATAGAATTTTACTATACTATTGTGAATACTTTGGGGGTACTTGCTCAAAATAAATCCCTTGGAGCAACTCCAAGGATTACTCTTTGATTATGTTTTAGATCACCTTTCTTTGTTCTTAAGAGTATATTTTGGTTTTGATATGTATTATGTTACTCACAATCTTTCTACTTCTGTTCAGAGTTCGAAAATCAGCAGTCAATATTTTTCAGTGGAGATGTTTACTAGAGTCCAATGTCAAGATCAAACGTTCTCATAATCTTAAATGACATTACCTTTCCTGTCACTAGTTAGCTACACCTAAGTTTGCAGTTCTCACCAATGACTCACATGATTTTAAGGCAAATTTCTCATGAAGAAGATGATTTAAAAGTGAATCCAAAAGTTTAGATGATACAAATTGTTCTGAAATTAATTCTGAGTGATATCCTACCACTCCTCATTCAATAATCCCCTTTGGATGCAGAATGCATTATTTAAGTTACTACCTTTCCTCTTTCTTTTTGCTCTTTTTCATTGGCCAGATTTTCTGTCTGTCTTATCCACTTCTGTATCAGCCAATGGCATCTAGGCTGCAAAGGTTGCCTTTCTACCCGCATTTACTCTAAATTGTCTTATTTTCCATTTGGCACCTTATAGTCGTTAATTTATTTGAACAAATTACTTAAGAAACAATATATGTGAATAATATTCAAATTAAGTTTTTCTTCTTTTTCGTTAGAAAATAGAAATTAAACTATTGGAGAATTTTAAATGCATGTGAAGCCTTATAGTGCACTCACTATATGGAATTTTAATACTAATATGTTCTAAAGTTTAGTCAAAAGTCACCAACTTGTTGACATATGATTACAGAATGAGCAAGAGGTCTTAACTTTAGTGAAACATTGTTGAATATACCAAAATAAGCAACATTTGATCCACGTTCAATGTGTACATACATGTAACATGTAAATATGTCTGTATACACCTCCCCACACATGTGTGTGAACTGGGTTATCCCTTTATATCTCAACTCAGAAGAAAAAAATACAGTGTAAAGCTTAACTACAGGAACAGTCTCTTGCAGTGTCAAATAAGGTATAATTATTTAAAAGGCAAAATATACTTCACAGTGCACCTTATAATCATTTTAGTGGCATGCTTGTTTATATGTGAGAAAGACTGGATTAGTGAGACAAGACCTATCTGAGTTATCAATCTAATTAAATTACATCTGGCAAATGTACAAGGATTGTGTATATCCCAAGTCTAACCTTGTTATCCAGGAGAGATTGCTTCTAGGACCCCTGCAGATAACAAAATCTGTGAGTGCTCAGGTCCCTGATATAATATGGTATGGTATCTGCATACAACTACCCCATCCTCCCATAATCATCTTTAGATTACATATTATACCTAATGCAAGGTAAATACGATGTAAACAGTTATGTTGCATTGTTTTCTTATTTGTATTTTTATTGCTATAGCGATATTTTCATTGTTTTTTTCCCCCCCAAATATTTTCTGTCCATAGTTGGTTGAATCCATGGATGTGGAACCTGGACAGAGGGCTGACTGCAAGTTATATCTAAGAAGTTATACACATAACTTATTAGTTATACATCCATTGTAACTTTTCTTATTAAATATAAACAGGAAGCAAAAGACTGTCAAAGTGGGTATTATTTAAATATACAAGTTACCACTAGCTTCATCAGCAAAAACTTCTCCTTGCGCTCCACCAGTGACACACATATGCTCTCAGCATGCATCTTAAGCTCCTACCCCTGAATAATATGTTCTGTAGTGTTAACTTGAGTTTCTGTAATTATGTCACTATAATACAGCACATTGCATATACATGAAATATCATACCTTTATAACTATGTCCACTTTATTACTGGATCTAAATATCTTTTACACAGAATACACACAATTTTTCTAGAACTTTCATTTTCCTGCCCAGAAGATATCAAACAAAATATAGCTTAAGTGAACCCTTGTTTGAAAATAAAACCCTCAACTATTTTGAAGGAAAAAATCCAGAACTAGCTCATATGACTGCCATTTACATTTAGCTTGTCAGAACTTAATAACATGGCTATGCCTGGCTGCTGAGAAGGCTGGAAACAGCCATACACAAGGAGAACTTGTGCCTAGGCAAAACTCTGTTCTTATGGAAAAAAGATTGAGTTTCGGGAAGACGAGTTGTATTTTATAGTCTTTTCTACCTTCACAGACTATTTGGTTACTCCTGGTTACTTTTCTTTGTGTAAACAAAGGCATTTGTATATAACTTTTTTTTTTTTTTTTTTTTTTTTCTGAGACAGGGTCTCACTCTGTTGCCCAGGCTGGAGTGCAGTGGCACGATCTTGGTTCACTACAACCTCTGCCTCTCAGACGCAAGCAATCATCCCACCTCAGCCTCCCAAGTAGCTGGGACTACAGGTGCATGCCACCACGCTCGACTATTTTTTTTTTTGGTAGAGACGGGGTTTTATCATGTTCAAGAACTCCTGAGCTCAGGGTGATCTGCCTGCCTCAGCCTCTCAAAGTGCTGGGATTACAGACATGAGCCACCATGCCCGGCCCATTTGTACACAACTTTTAAAGCATAAATCCCATCATTTCGTAAAGATGAATATCTTGAATGCATAAATTCCTTATATGTCTCTGAGTACCCCATGCAAAAAATTAAAAACTAGGGACTTAGTAAATGTTGGTCGAATAAGTGACTTTTCTGAGTTTAGAATCATCCAAGTCATCACCAATCCATGTTTACCCCCAACGTAAGCAAAACATAGCAAATAAATAGATGAATGCTGAAAAGGGAGAACTTTTAACTTATAATCTGCCATAAGAGAA